>NT_187655.1:0-136959 GCF_000001405.40 Homo sapiens
CACACAGCTGATGGTTAGAAGAGAGCCTATATTATTAAAAAAAGAAAAATGTAATCCAGAATGTTGGTGTTGTGGTCAAATAGGATCTTTCTTATATTATTAATGGGAACTCAGACAGCCATAACCTTTATAAGAGATTACACCAATTCTAGAATATTTTTCCTGTGGACATACTCAAAGACATGGGTAAGTATTAGCAAAAATTTGGAAACAACCTTCAGGTTCTAACATAGAGGAATGAGAAAATGAATTATGTACCCAAAACTTGGCAACAAAAATCATAGTCTTCAAGAATATTTAATAACATGAGTAAAGTGCTTAACATATAAAAATGACTGAAAAAAATGACTCAAGGCTGAATACTAATGATATTTATACAAAAGCTTGATGCTTATGTTTAGATTTTAGATGCTTTCTTTGTTTCTCTAAATTTTGAAAAATATTTTCAAAAATTTCTGAAATGAACTCATTATAATTTTTAAGCATGCTATAAAGATTGTATATGGAAAAATTTGCAAATAAGTAAGCTTATTTTTTGTTTAAGAATGACTTGGAGAAATACATCTCAAGGTATTTTTCTGCTTTTTAGATGATTCAGAAGTGTCCATATTCTGCCTACGTATATAAGTTTTTTTTTTTGCTATGAAATTGCCATTTTAGACAATCGTTTTTCCTAAGAAATCTTTGGAAAGTAAATTTGCATTTTATTTAAGGATTTGAAGATCTTTAAGGTTCTGAGAGGTTGCTATACAGTTTTTTGTGTGTATTAATTGTATAATAAAATTATGCATCATAAGGTGGTTCACCAACAGAATGAAGGGTTATACAGTTAATTTTTTTCTGAAGAAAAAAAGTACGACACAGAAGCCATGAGTTCTGAGCATCACATGCCTCATAATTTTAAATGTTAGAGAAAATGAGTTGATAGGCTTAGCATATCCCTTGAACGTAGAGATTTGCAAGAAAGAAGCTAGATGCAGTGTTCGCACACAGAGATTAGAAGGGAAGCCAGTGTTCCCTTATGGCTTCGATAGATATTTGTGAATTATTTGGGTCTAGTATAGAACATCTTTTGTAAAAGTGCCATAAGAAGATAAAACATGGCATTTCTGACGTGAAGAGCTGAAAAGGGCAGGTCTCAATTCATGCTTGTTCTGTAAGCCCTGGAGTCACAGGGTTTTGGGAAGTGCGGCGACTTCGGTGAAGTGGTAACAGCTGTTCCGTTGGCCGTTGGAACGGCTTTGCTAGGGCAGGACGGGGCTGCCATTGTCATCCCTGCATTATTGGAGTCAGGACAGTTCTAGGCATGGGGAGGGTGAGGGGAGGGAGGTTAGGCAGAGGATTGAAAAGCAAGGAAAGCCAGCCCTTCAGGAGAGACCTGGCGGGAGGAGGAGATGCTGGGATCATGGCGTGGGGAGCAGCAGGTGGGCAGGGCACACCCAGGTTTCCGAAAAGCCAAGAGGGGTCGTATCCCCTTCCTTTCAGAATTGCTCGTCATGTTCTCATAGAGACTTTCCCAGGGAGAACTACACAGGATAGAGGCCATTTTTCCTGAGATTGGATTTATAGGAAGCTGGCAGGACAGCATCCCCTCTGCAGGGGCCTCAGGGTGTGGGACTGCCGGCCACAGCGGGGCCACCAGCTGCTTGATGTTAGCGCAGCGGCCACCCTCCAGCCAGGGTTCTCTCCTTTATAAATTGGGGGAAACAGTCTCTCCCAGTCTCTGCTGCTGTTCTCTGTATAAAGTTACTATATGACAAGGGTAAAATGAAAACACATACAATGTGCTGGAAAGGACAGAAAGTTCCACAAACTGACGTGAATGACGCACTGAAACATAGACATCCTAAGCAGGGTGTCTGTCTGAAATGGGCAATAAGGAGAATTTCTCTAAAATCTCTGCATTCAAATTTTTAGTTTACTGTTTCACCACTCTGAGTATCTCCCCTTAATATCTCTATCAAACTTTCAGTTTTTGGTTCCACGGTTTCTTTCCAAAAAGCTACAGACGGGATATTTACTGAGTTGTGATAGCACTATGTTTCAGGAACTGGAACAGGAACCCACGGGTGTGGTGGATTTCCGTGAGGTGCTTCAAGTTACATCTGGTCAGCGCTCAGGACTCAGCCCCGGGCTCTCCAGGCTGCCTGGGAGGGAAGTGCAGTTCTGCAGGCGGCATCTGAGAGGCTTCAGAACGGGCCTCTCCTTCCCTCACCCACGCTCCCCACTATTTGGCCCACGGATGCTACACGCTGGCCACCCTAAGTCACTGGGTGCCCTCACCTTGTTCTCTGTTCTTTCAAACCCAACCTCCCCAACAGTCACCAGCACCTCTGTGTGCAGGCATTGTTGCTTTCCCTTCTGTGCAGTGCTGGACCCTCCTGACCTGCACCTGTGCCCCTCACTGAGGGTCTGTGCAGATGCAGCTTTCTGTCTCCATTGCTAGCTCAGCTAGCAACATAACAGAGGACTAGATGCACGTGTGTTATTTGAATGGCATAACAGATAAGGGAAGGCAAGATAATTAGGAGGAATTTTGGAATACCTGGAGTTAAGACCATATTCCCCACAAAGCGCATCTTAGTCCTGTTATTTCCCCACAGCACCGCTTGTTTCCTCCATTGCATACCTTTCCCCTGTGCTCAGAATGTGAGGAATGATATCGAGTAAATTAATGAGGGGAGTCACGGAAGAATAAAGATGAGGCAAAAAGAAAGGAGGGGAATGGCTTCCAGCGGGCGCGTTTTCACCGCCCTGTGCTGGAAAGGCACTTAGGAAGATAATGAATATAAACTCACACTATCTGGACACAGATGGAGAAGGCGGTGGAGCATTTGAGTGGATGATTAAAGAGAAAAACAAATCAGGAGGTAAAATTACTGTTTATGGGCCAGGGAGGCCACGTCCTAAAGTTTAGTGGAATTGTGCTTTAGAAAGAATGCTGTAAGAAATCCAGAAGCTGTGAAGACGGTAAAGACAATGATGACAGTGAGCTTTCTTGTTTCTTTGAGGCTTCCGAATGCTCCTCCCCAGTCTGCGTCCTGCTTTGACTGGACGTTGCAAACAAAAGATTCTTGCTTTGTCTGTCTCCATCCTTTCGACCACCTCCAGAAGCTACAGGAAATAAACGCTCTTTCCATCCTGGTCCCTTTGCCACCCACAAATACGGAGAAGTTGCGTCTAGGTAAATATTAATCTCTGCTTCTGCTTTTCCTTCCTGTGTGCTGTGAATACAGGCCCTGTCTGCAGTTTTACTTTTGGCTGAAGTAGCCCATGCTCTAGGGTCCATCCAGGAAACACACAGCGCACAGTCAAACCGCAGACGGCCTGTACCCACAGTCAAACCACAGACGGCCTGTATGCACAACCAAACCGCAGACGGCCTGTACCCACAGTCAGACCGCAGACGGCCTGTATGAACAGTCAAACCACAGACGGCCTGTACCCACAGTCAAACCGCAGACGGCCTGTACCCACAGTCAAACCGCAGACGGCCTGTACCCACAGTCAGACCGCAGACGGCCTGTATGAACAGACAAACCACAAATGGCCTGTATTCACAATGCAAAGGAAGGAAAAGCAAAAGCAAAAGTTAATATTCACCTAGATGCAACTTCTCTGTATTAGTAGGTGGCCAAGGGACCAGGATGAAAAGAGCATTTATTTCCTGTAGCTTCTGGAGGTGGCCAGGAGGATGGAGACAGACAAAGCAACCAGAAACACAACTTTCCCCCCAGCCACCATCCAGAAACACAGCTTCCCTCCAGCCACTGTACAGAAACACAGCTTGCCCCACCCAGCCACCATCCGGAAACACAACTCCCACCCACCCACCATCCCTCCAGGAAGCCGCTGTTTTTAATCCCCTCCCATGAGTTATGAATTGTGTCTGGTGTGGTGGACCCTGGAGCATGGGCTTGTTGGCTGCGGTTCCACTCGCCCAGCGTGGGGCCTGGGAGACCTGGCTGAGCTGGTGTGTGGTGTCCTCTGTACATGACTCCACTGTGGTCTCCCGTCCTGTGGGTGTGCATGCTTCATCCATCCATTGCAACGTCAACAGACCCCTCTCCTCCTTCCACTTCTCTCCTCCTGTTTTCTAGTTTGAAACTCTTACCAATAATGCTGCTGTAAACATCTTCTGCATATTTTTGGTGAATCTATGGATGTATTCTTTTTTTTATTATACTTTAAGTTTTAGGGTACATGTGCACAATGTGCAGGTTAGTTACATATGTATACATGTGCCATGCTGGTGTGCTGCACCCATTAACTCGTCATTTAGCATTAGGTATATCTCCTAATGCTATCCCTCCCCCCTCCCCCCACCCCACAATAGTCCCCAGAGTGTGATGTTCCCCTTCCTGTGTCCATGTGTTCTCATTGTTCAATTCCCACCTATGAGTGAGAATATGCGGTGTTTGGTTTTTTGTTCTTGCGATAGTTTACTGAGAATGATGATTTCCAATTTCATCCATGTCCCTACAAAGGACATGAACTCATCATTTTTTATGGCTGCATAGTATTCCATGGTGTATATGTGCCACATTTTCTTATGTATTCTGTTGTGTGTGGGTAGCCCCAGGATGCCGGGTGGCAGAGCATGCCTGTCCCCTCTAACACATCCCAGCAGACACTTCACTCCACCAACCCACACACCCACTGCCAGGCCAGGAGGGCGCCTGCCACACATCTCTGCAGCCACGAGGGTGTCAGCCTCTCCACAGGAGCCCCTGCAGGTGCTGTGACAGCATCTTGTCATGGTTTAATGTAACTTCCTGGATGCTCGGTCACCTCGAACGTCTTTTCTTTATCTGCCATCTGATATCGCGTAGCCTCTGTTAAGAAGGGCTGAATGGAGTCCCGTGCTCATTTTCCTAGTGTGCTGTCTTTACGGATTCCAGATATGAGGCCCTTTACAAACACAGGTTTTTCTAACGCCTCTTGCTCTGTGGGACATCTTTTCATTCTCTTAAATGGAATCTTTGATGATCAGAGGTTCTTACATGTAATTCAGTGCCATTCATCAATATTATCCTTTGTAGTTAGAACTTCCATTAGGTTCTGGAAGCGTTCCTGCGTGTATTTAGACCTGTAATATCTCTGGAACTGTGTGTGTGCACATGTGTGTGTATGCACATGTGTGTGCACCTGCGCATGTGTGTGCATGCACGTGTGTGCATGCATGTGTGTGCATGTGAGTGTGTGCATGCACGTGTGTGTGCATGTGTGTGCATGTGCCTGTGTAGGGAGAGGGGGGGCTACATTCATTCCTTTTCCTAAGGCATATCCAGTTGGCCCAGTACCAGCTATTGAAAGGACAAGCCGTCCCCACTGTCCTGAAGTGCAGCCTTTCAGAGTTCAAGTCCCCACACAAGGGTAGGCCTGTTTCAGGGCTGCCTATTAGAACCATTGATCTCTTTGTCAAACACTGAGCCAATTCCTCACTGCCACAATTATTTTTATTGCCGGATCTTGCTTTTCTTTTCTTCCAATAAATTTCTCCTCTTCAGAATTGGCTTTATGTTCCAACCCTGCATTTCCAGATGAATTTTAAAATCTGCCTCTCAGTTTTTAAAGAACAACTCATTGGGCTTTGATTAGGAATTTATGGAATCCGTAAATTAAAATTTGGACATTTGGCATCCTTATATTGAGTCTTTCAAATGCATTGACATGGTAGTTTCTTCCATTTCTTTGGGCCCTCTGAAGTTTCTCCCAGTGTTTTACAGTTTTCTGTGTATTTGTGCATCTTCCTTAGATTTATCATAGGTATTCGATATTTCCTCATGCTATTGTAAACTTTATGTGCGTCAAAAAAATGATGCTTTTGTAAAAATGAAACTCTGTAAAATAATTTACAGGTTTTTTATTGCTATTGTATGGAAATACATTTTTTATTAACTTTGATTCTAGTGATCTTGCTACATTTATGTATTATTTAACTCTATTTTTTCTGTAGACATTTTAGACTTTCTACATTTATAAGTTGTCTGCAAATGCCAGTTTTATTATCTTTCTTTTGAAATTCATAAATTGAATTTCATTTAACGTTTTTCTCATCAAGATGATTATGTAATTTTTATACCTTCTTCTTTTTTTTTTTTTTTAAAGACAGAGTCTCTGTCACCCAGGCTGGAGTCCTGTGGTGAGATCAGAGTTTACTGCAGCCTTGAACTCCTGGCTCAGGCTCTCCTTCTGCCTCAGTCACCCTAGTCACTGAGACTAAAGGCAAGTTCCACCAAGCTCAGCTAATTTTTTCAGAGACAGGGTCTTGCTGTGTCTCCCAGGCTGAACTTGAACTCCAGGCCTCAAGTGATCCTCCCACCTTGACTTCCCAATACAGTGGTATAGTGATTGATTTCTGAATCATAAATGAAATTTTGATTCCTGAAATAAATACAATAATTTTATAATTTAAAAATTGTTTTAACATGTAATATTTGCTAATGTTTTATTTAGTGTTTTTCTATTTACGTTTACAACAGATTGTCTATTTTTTAAAATCCCTTTGATTTGGAATTAAAGTTAATCTGGCCTCAAGACAAGTTTGAGAAGTGTTTCTTTTTCTCTACTGTGAAGAATTTGTATAGTTTATATTATTTATTCTTTAAACATTGGAAATATTTCTGGAGAAGCCATCTACTTCTGGTGGTTCTCTTATGTGAAGGTATAATTACAGATTTGATATCTTTTCTAGACAGGACTGTTAAGATTTTTTTATTTCTTCTTGTGTCAGTTTTTATAAGTTGTGTTTTCCAAGGAACTTTTCCATTTCAGTTGGATTTACAAATTAGTGATAGAAAATTAGTTACACCACCCTCTTAAAATATTCTCATGTCTTTAGGATCTGTGATTATTTTCCTTTTCAATTCTGATGTTATTGCTTTAAGCTTCTTTTGTTTTCTCTATTAGTTTTAATAGGAATTTATCAATATTACTAGTCTTTTAAAGAATAATATTTTTTGATTTTGTTGATTTTTTTCCCTACACTGTGTTTTTAAATTAATTTCTGCTTTAATCTTTGTTGTTTCTTCATTTGGATTTAATTTCCTATCCTTATTCTAATTTCTTGTGATTGATGTTTAGACTTTTATCTTCTAATATATGAACTTAATACTTCAATTTTTTATGTTCAGCTTTAGCTGCCTCTCGAGTATTAACATTTAATAATTGAATGAGCTTCAGCTTAAAACATTTTCTAATTTTCATTTTATTTCTCTTTTGACAAAAATATTTTAGAAGTATATTTCTTAATTTTAAAATAATTTGCCATTTTCTAGTTAGCTTTTCATTATTGAGTTCAAATTTAATTCTACTGTAGTCAGATAATATATTCTGAATGTATTTTACGTATTTCAATTACTTGAGCTTTTCTGGGTCTTTTTTTAGGTTCCTGCATATGGCCAATTTTGGCAAATGTTTTGTGTGTACTTAAAAAATGAAATTCTTTTATTTCTGACTTCAGTGGTCTCTATGTATCAATAATTCAGTATTAATCCTTGTGTTCAGATGTTTTAAATCTTATATTTTCGGATTAATTTATGTGCTTAATTGATCAGATTTATCCAGGTTTGTTTATTTTTGCTTTTGATTCTGTCAATTTTTGCATCTGATATTTTGAAGTCACATAGTGGGATGTACAAATTCAGATTGTCATACCTTCCTGAAAAATTCACTATTTTATCATTGTGGAATTACCCTCTTTTTTTTTTGGTTTGAGATGGAGCCTCGCTCTGTTGCCCAGGCTGAAGTGCAGTGGCGCAATGTCGGCTCACTGCAAGCTCCGCCTTCTGGGTTCACGCCATTCTCCCGCCTCAGCCTCCCGAGTAGTTGGGACTACAGGCACCCGCCACCGCACCCGGCTAATTTTTTTTGTATTTTTAGTAGAGGCGGAGTTTCACTGTGTTAGCCAGGATGGTCTCGATCTCCGGACCTCGTGATCCGCTCACCTCGGCCTCCCAAAGTGCTGGGATTACAGGCACCAGCCACCGCGCCTGGCCTGAAATTACCCTCTTTATCTCTTTCAGTGATTTCAGTCTTAAAATCTACTTATCTGATTTTAGTATATATCAGTTTTCTTTGGGTTAATATTTGCATGTTATGTCTTCTTTCATCATTTTACTTTCACACTTACTATATTCTAATATTTAAGTTTTATTCTTTAAGCATATAGTTGTTTCTATTTTCATCTGGTCAGACTGTATATATTAAATGTAATTCATGACATCCAGGAATTTCATCTGCCATCTTACTATTCCTGTTGTATTCTCCACTTATTTTATATTCTTTGTTCTCCCTTTCTTGCATCCAGTTGTATTGACCTAGATTTATCTTTTTTATTCCACATTTTCCTCTCTTGACTCGTCACTTTCACTTTCAGTAGTTCCTGAGGATCACCACAGTCATCTCTAGGTTATTAGAAACTCAGACCGATGGGTGTTATTATCACCTTCCAGAAAATGCCAAGACCCTGGAACCTTTTAACTCCTCTGATATCTTCCTGCTCTGTGTTTAGCCACAGATACGAATTCTGTATGTATGTTTAAGGTCAGTAAGACATCAGTGTTATTGTTTTGTGTGGTTGATATTTAGATTTAGTGACCCACATATTCACCTTTCTTTGCTCTTCATTTCTTCACTTATTTCCTTGTTTTTTCTGGGGTTGTTTTGTTCCTCCCTGAAGAGCTCCCCTAATTTTTGCTTTAGTGTGAATCTCTTCGAAGAAAATTCTCTCAATTTTTGTTTGCCTAGAAATGTCTTCATTTCGGCTTTTGATGAAAAAGATGTTTTCTCAGCTCTAGAACTGTAAGTTGGCAGTTATCTGTTTCAGCCTTTTAAAGCTGTCATTACACTGTCTTCTGCCTTCCCTGTTTTTATTAGGAAGCCAGGGCATGGTATCATTGCTTAAATCTTACGTTTCTTTGGCTTCTTATAATATTTTCTCTTTGCCTTTGGTTTTTAAAAGTTTTACCCTGCTGTCCTAGGCATGGCTTTGTATCCATGTGTTCTGTGTAGAGCTGAAGGCTGAAGAATCTTCTATCTGGGAATGCAGGACTGTGCCAGATTTGTCTTTTATACTTAAAATTCCCCTTGGGACAGAGACGAGGATTTGTCATCATGCCTCATTCCTATGAATCTACTGTGGCTTCTAGAAAATCCAAGGAGAGAAGGGTGGTGTCCATGCCCTGTTGACAGGATTGGACACTGCTCAACTTGGAGGTTATTCTAATGCTAGAGAAAGAAAAACAAAATGGATGAATATAACACTTTCTTCCATGTAATAATGGACATAGAAGTGAGAGCATACATGTCAGACTCAAAAACATAGATGAGTTCTTAAAAACTGAAAAAAAGTGTTATGTGAGAATCTGAAAAACTAAATATCATTATTTGAAATATATTAAACACCACTTCTCAAATAAGTTTTTCTGACTTTAAAAATAAGACAGACATGAAAAATATATGGAGTATTACTTTCTGAGATAATCATTATTATTTGGATATAATTATTTCTGTTTTTTGTATGTTTGCAGGCACATGTATGAAACACACATACATACATATGTAATCGTTATGCTTTGTTTTTGATTTGGTCCTCCACTTTCTTTTTTCATTGAAAACGATGTTAACATTTTGATATTTCATTAACATTTTTTCAGATGATCATCGGTAGTGACTGGCTTCTATCTCATGGATGCGTTTTTATTCACTTAACCACGTCCCTGCAGAGGAAGAAAAACTTTTCCTCTACCCTCTTTCATTTTTCAGCTGGAGTCTGCCAATTAAACTGACAAAAGATAGATTCATAGGAGAAAAGTCATACACATTTTGCTTGATGTTAACATTTTTACATGCACAGTAAAAATGAAAAGAAGCTCCACAGTAAAAAGTGAAAAACTCAGAGGAGCAGGAGACTCAGGGGCTCATAGGGCACTTTAACAAAGGGTAACACGATGCAGAGAAGTCACTGTACAGAGGAAAAGGACCTTTGGCCTACGCGGGGGCAGCTTTGGGACGGTGAACACGTGCGAAGATGAACGGGAGAGGAGGGTTATCTTAGTAAGGCTTGTTTGCAGATCCTCAGTGCAGGCTTTCCGTCTCTGACGATTCCGGTTGTTCTTTGCCTGGTGAGGGAGGTGAGGGGCACCTTCGCAAGGGGAAATGAGTGCACTGGCTTTAGGTAGAAAGGAGGAGGGCAGAGAGCTCTTCCGGTGCCTGTGGTTTCTCTCTTGCCTTCAGCTCAAAGCGGTGCTTAGGCCAAAGAGGCCGATTGTCAGGTGGCGTCGTCTCATCTTCTCCATCCCCAGGATCAGGCATTTAGGTTGTTCTGTTTACACGAACTACTCTTTGTACTGTTGCAGTCAACTTATTTTTACACAAATCTTTGGCTTTCTTTCTGGTTATTCCATTAGAACAAACTATTGGAAGTAAAATTAAGGGTCCAATACCATAAACAGCGAAGCGTCCTGATATGTAAAGGCTGATTGCTTTTCTGGTTGTTGGAATACATGTTGGTTCCCACAAGACACCTGCGAGTAGTTTTCTCACCTCAACCTCACTAGCATTGAGCTATAGTTCATTTTTAATGTTTTCCAAATTAGAAGATGACAACTATATTCCATTTTAGTTTGCATTTTTCTGTTTCCTTGAGAGGCACAGTATGTGTTCAAATATTTACTGGCTATATTTCTTCTGTAAATTTTATTTGTAGACATTTATCTATTTTGCTATGAGAGTGTTAGTGATTTTCTTATTGTTTCCTTCGAATTCTTTATATATTGTTGATACTAATACTTTGTGACTTTTAGAAATATGTTTGCATTCAGACTTTTGCCTTTTTATTTTGCAAATGCCATTTTTAACATATGTAAATTGTGAGGTAGTGTTAAATTTCCCGCTAGAACTACCATCATTAAAACACAGAGTTTGATGGAACGTGTTGCCTCAATGCAATGACACTAAGTATTTAAACGGGATGAAATAGAGTCTCTGGAGCTATGAATGACTGGAAGACTCTTCCTTCCTTCAGTTATCTGGTCATAGTGAAATAGGAAAATGTATGTTCATTCCTCTCCCAAAGGCCCTTTTTTGTATGACTTAAAAAGTGCAAAGCAGTGAGTAAGGTGGTGGTTGATGGAATGATGTCATGGGGGGCCCAGCAGGGGAGGTTTGGGGAGGGAACTCCCAGGGGTGCCTGCAGGGCCTCCTAGGATGCGAACTTGGGTTTGGGGAGAAATGGGTCTTCCACCTCTTGGCATCATCACTGTCTTAAACATGCTTGCTTAGAATCAGCTTCCTCCCAGATGCTGAAGCTAACGGCTATGTCTAAAACCAGATGGGCCAAACCTACATCACATTTTGCCTCTTAGTGGCTCTGTGCAAAAAATGCTGCCGTGTTCTTCCACAAAACAGCCATTTATCTTGCACACCATTTGCTTTGGAAACTAGAACTTAAGCAAATCAGCATCTTTTTGCAAAGTATGGAAGCACGCCCACTCAAACATTTTTCCTCTCTGATGTATTTGGCACTATTAATTCAAGCTATTCTGTAGAAATTTAAAATGAAACTTACCTCCTTTACTCATGCTTAAGATTCTTTTAAAAGACAGGAAATGCTTTTATTTCAAGAAACTACCTTTGAGAGGCCTTCTCCCCCTGCTTTGACCCACCCTGACTTAGTGCATTTCCACTTTTCTTCCTGCAAAGGGCCTGACCCCTCAGTTTCCAGGCTCCGAGCGGTGTGGCAGGCAGAGTGGTTGGTTCCTCATGGTCTGGCCAGAGAATCATCAGTCTCGATCTGAACATGCCCAGATAATTGGGGTCATTTTCTTCGGAAGGAAAAAAATCAGCTTTTGGCACTGGCTATGCCTAAATCATAACTTGCCTACCTCAAGAGCTATAAAAGGCAATTTAGTCGGGCTTCTAAACACGCCTCTTTCTAGTCACTGATTTAATTAGTGTAGAACATGGTACAGTTCACTCTTTCTCAGCAGTGTGTACCGTAGAAAGCTTACCAGTCGCGTGATTATACGAAATCCTTTCCCCGCTAATGAATCCAGGAACACATTCTACCAATGTTGATGTATATGGTGCCCACCGAGTTAATTAACCTGTTTTTATCCTCTTTTTCATTAGAGTAAAATTATCAACTAACATTGTGAAAGACACAAACCAATATTTTTTAGACTTTTCACAGGCGTATCAGAATGTGAGTCTAATGAGAACTAATTCATCAAAACTAGGCTTTTCCTGCATTGCCAGACCATTAACATTATTTTAATGTCATTAGCTCTGCTTAGCGGCAGACATTTGCAGTCATAACTGTTAGGAAACACAGCGTAATGTTTTGCAGATCTCATTTCAGTGGTAAAATTTCACCACCTAAGGTCTTGATAAATGCATCTAGCACTTTCCTTGGCAAAAATATTACTGACATGAAAATCAGTTCAAGTGCACTGGACCCCAGAGACGTTTTTCTGTCTCCTCCCCTTTCCTAGGGGGTTTCATGTTTGCAGTGATCTTATTTTTCAGTAATTTTCTTTTCTTGTGTTTTCCTTTCAAAAATAACTTTATTGAAAGGAAGCAAGCATAAACAAGGGGAATATGGAAGAAAAGAAACAAGCAAGCAGGAAAAAGAAATAAGGAACTAAAAATGTGCATACATGGATATGCACCAGTATCAAACCAGATGGCTTCATGTGGATATTGTAAAGATCGAATGCCTCGAGGTAATGTAAGGGGTAATTGTGAATCACTACGGCGTCGTCCAAGCAAAAGGGAAAAGAGAAAATGCCTTGCAAAGCAAATGACACTAATGTCAGGTTTGAAGAGCTGAGTTACTGACCTGGGGTGAGTTTGTGAGATCCCCCAGCACAGCAGAACAGCCAGGACCAGGCGTGGAGATGTGCCAGTATTTGCCCCCAAACGAATACATCGAGACACGATTTTATCCAGATGCCCCTCTCTTCCAACTGATCAAAGTAGTAGGTGTCACTCACTTCTACCGTAAATTTGTGCATATTAATGATTTCCCTTATTCAAAGACAAGGCAGGGAAAATTGATCAGAAGAAAACTGAGAAACTAAATTAAGCAATTTTTCATTTATTTTCTGCTAAGTTTCTTGTTTCTTTTCTTCTTTCATCGCAATCACAAGAAAAGACAGAAATAGATTAACCATCCATTAAAAACCCCAGCAGCCAGTTACACTGCCACGGAAGAGGCCGGGACTAGCTTTCCAGGCCCCTCCGCAGTCGAGGACCGAGCTGCCTTTTCTCCCGGAGTCGGTCAGGATTTCCAGTCCTTACTGTGGCCGGGCACCCTCTATAGTCCTGCCGTCCATCCCGCCCTAAAATAAGACTGTGGGCCTGACAAAGGCCCGGGGTGCCTTGGAGTTAGGATTTCAGCTGCCGCTCTGCTCTTCCACCCTCCAGTGTCTGCTACCTGGACGCGCAGTGTCCTCGGCCTACAGGAACCATGTCTCTCTTCTTACTGTTTCTCCTCACTGCAGCCCCTCACCAGGACGTGAATGGCTACTTCTTCCCGGGCCTTGTCCCTCCCTCCCATCCTGCTTCTGTTCCCACTCATTCTCGCAGGCCTCTGCCTGGGCACCAGCACCTCTCACCCTGGCCACTGCCTTCGTCGGAGGGGCCGTCTTAAACCCTGCCTGGGTCCCGTCCCCTGGGTATCCCTGGGGCAGCGGCTGGCCGGGTCCCGTGTCCCCTGCGTCTCTCCTCTGCCCAGCACACACCAGGGTTTCTAGGAACGCTTGCTGGATGAGTGAACAGATGCGTGAATGACTTGTCGCTTCTTCTTCTTGTGGCTGCACTCCGTCTTCCCGGAGGGAGTGGTTTCCAACACGCTTTCTTGGCCTCTCTGGAAAGTCCCACCGCTTCCTGCGAGGGGCATCCGGGCTGGGGGGTCTCCCCGGATGGTCTCCGAGTGGAGCTCTTGCCAGGGGGCTGCTAGCTGGGATCGCGGCGGGCGCACCGGCTTCCCTGGGAGTCTTTTAGCAACCTTAGAAAATTCACTCTCGGAATCTTGGAGGGAACTTTTCTAAAGAGTTTCCATGGCAGGAGGCTGTTGACGACAGCATATGTGATGTGTGATGTGTGATGTGTGGTGCAGGCTCGCAGGTTGCAGGGTAGCCCCAGCTCTCACCACATCTGGCCGGGGTTTTGCTTCGCGATGGGCGCGGTCTTTCCGGACTCCGAGACCCCCAGGCCCCTCCGAGGCCCCCAGGCCCCTCCGAGGCTTCCCAGCGCTTCTCACTTCCCCGTCCGCGCGGGCTGCGTCCCTGGAGCGCGGGGCCTTGGTCGGTGGGGCTGGGACGCCCCGGTTCGGGGGCAGGTGCTGCAGGCATTCGTGGAATGAACACACGATCTCGAGTGGGCGAGCGGCGTGTGTGGAGAGGAAGATGAGGAAGGACGCGCTGTCTGCATCCAGCGGCGGGGGAGGCCAGTATGCAGAGGCCGAGGGAGCTTCGGGGCTCGGGGAGGCTGGGTGGGCGTCCCGTTCCTGCGCTGCCCCTGACGGAGTCCCCGTCGCAGAGGGCCTGTGGGCCGGTGACTTTCTGCAGCTGCTGCTGCGTCCCTGACACCCGCACGGCTGATGCCCCTCCCGCCATTAAGCAAGGAAAGCTCTTGGTACAGCCGAGCCCTGTTTCAGGGGCCGCAGGTGCAGGGGCTTCCCTAGGAGCCTCCCCTGGGCTTGGCTGTGTGTGAATCACCGGGGCTGCAGCTCTCAGACCCTCCCTCTGCCGCCGGGAGCGGCCGCTTCAATGAACCTGAAACCCAGGACCCGGGTAGGTCTCCTCCTCCTTCCCGTTTTGGCGCTGCTTACCCAAGGAGAGCCAAAGCCACTCCTGAGGAGAGGATGGGAGCTGCAGAAGCCTGGTGGCCCGGAGGAGAGTTGGGGAGGCGGCGGTGGCCTCACTCTGGACGCCCCTGGGTCTGGCCGTGGGCCGTGGCACACACAGTGTCCCTGTCAGGCCTCACACGGTGCCAGGCCACACGCTCACGTCTCCATCTCACCTGCCTGGGTGGCACAACCCGTCACACAAGAAGTCAGGCGTCTTTAGGAGTGGCCCCGACTCCCCCAAATCCCGGCCACGCTCTAGCTCAGCGCCCCTGCTCAGCCCCCCAGCCCAGCGCCCCAGCCTAGCGTCCCAGCCCAGCGCCCCAGCCCAGCGCCCCGGCTCAGCGCCCCAGCCCAGCGCCCCAGCTTAGCGTCCCAGCCCAGCACCCCAGCTCAGCAACCCGGCTCAGCGACCCGGCTCAGCACCCCAACTCAGCACCCCCGTTTGGTGCCCCAGCTCAGGATCCCCGGCTGGTGCTGACGTCTCCTTTTTGCTTTGTTCCCAGGTGGCATTTTTCATCCAGCTTCATTCACACTGAGAGAGGTTGGTAGAAAGGTTCTGATTTCCACGCGAAGATGAGGAGGCTGACTCAGGAAGGCCCTGCCGTCCACTCAGGGTTCCCAGTCGGTCCATCCTTGAGTTCCTTGTCTTCACCGTGCTTAATTCTCCACTGTTACAGCTCCTCCCCCGAGTCCCCTCCAAGTTTCAGGCAGGCCAGGGCCCCAGGCTCTCAGTGGTACCTTCAGAGGAAGCCTCTGAGGGACTCGGTGGTGTCAGTTAATTACAGAAGTTTTGACAGACTTTGGTTTATCCTTTGGTCTTTCCTGGGCTTGTGGATTTACTGGTGACCGCGGGGAAAAGTTCTCTCTCTTTAGCTGTGATCAGCCTGTGGGTTCCGTACCCCGTGTGTGAAGCAGTTCCCGGGAGCATTCACGCGATTCCCCAGACACGCTGGAGGATGTCCTCTCGTGGCACAGATGCGGGCTGTGATGTTCAGAGATGGCCTGCTCAGCCATTTCACCGATGGATGCACTTCCAGCGACGACGGCCCTCAGGGAGTTCGAGTCCTCTTGAGAACTTGTTGTTTTTAAGAGTACATGCTAGGAATGGTAGAATCATAATTAGAAACCAAATTTTGCAATGTTTTTCATTCCCTTTCAGTCTAAAGTTTTCATTCCCATCTCCCAGCCCCTGAAGACCCATCTTAGATTTAGACTAAATTACGTGGGCCTTTCAGAACCAATCAGGCTGTGCTCTGTGTCCCGGCTCCCAGAGCAAGACCAGCCAACGGTGGCGCTGTGTTTGTTCTGGGGCTGTTCTCACCTGTGTGTCCTCTTTGGCAAATGTACTGTAGGAAGATAATTCTAAAACTCTAATACAAATAATAATAGGCTCTTAATAAAAATAACACATGGCACCATGACAAGAGAACGTCAGCCACCCACCTATGCGTGGAGCTTCGTCATTTGAAAAGCCTTTTCAACACAAGGTCATCCTGGGATCGGAGGGAGGCGATGAGGGCACTTCCCATTCACTGAGCACAAAGCATGTCCCAGGCGCTATCTCAGATGCTGCCGGTGTTCCGTCTTGTTTAGTCTTCTGGGCACCTTGTGTACGTCAACAGTTATCATCCACACTGTTCACTGTGCCTTCAAGAGTATCAGGAGTTATACAAGAGACAGATTCCAGTTTTACAGAGGAGAATCCTGGGCACCAAAGTGGTTAAATCATGGCCCACCCTAGCTTATGGCACTGTGCAGCTGCACAGCTGCCCCTTGCAGGTTCTGCCTGAGCATTTAGTTTTTCTAATAGACCATGCTGCTTCGTATTTACAGCTATTAATCTAAAGCTCATGTAACTCAAACATATTTGGTCAGCCTAAATTTGCCAGTTTGAATAAGCTATATAATGATTTTGTGGCCAATATAACTTTTTGAATTAAAATGAGGCAATGTAAAAAATTGCCATTATGGTGCATTATACTGAGGAAGCAGCAGACGTCATTATGTGCGTACATGTATCTGTGTGTTATATGTGCATGTATGTATGTACATATGTAATCTAATTCCCTCAGTAGACAGTGTGTGTGAAGATGTTTTATTGACTTATATTTGAGATTGCCAACTTTTACTGTATGCTTGATTTGCAATTAGTGTCACTATACCTTGGATCATTGGGGTTTATTAATGTAATAATTATACCTTTCCAGTGGTGTGTATGTGAGTGGCTTTCTAAAGATAGTGTTTTCCTATATATAAACTGCTCTCTTTTCATGGCTTTGGACGATACCTGTGAAATGAATGGTTTATGTGGAAGCCCTGTATGGTGCCAGGTTGTTTGAACCCGCAGACGGCCGTTGCACTCTGTGTTTAGTGAGTGACGCCGTCCACGGCAGCTTTGACCTTTGTGGGCTGCGCACCCAGAGCCACGCGGGTCCTGGTGGCTCCGAGTCACACAGACCCCTTGAAGTCTCCTCCATGATTCTGTCCACATCGACAACTGCACAGTTTTTTTTCTTGTGTGTTGGTCACTTTGGGGACCCCGTTAGTGGGATTCTTACTTCCTATTTTCCAAAGGACATGCTTAGAGGGTTCGGCCTGACCAGTGGAACTGAAAATGAGTAAAATCAAAGGAAACTTGCATGGACTGACCCCTCTTAAAGGTACAGAACTTTGTATGTTTTTCTCTTCCTTTCCCTGTATTTCTGCAGAGATGAAAACACTTTCTTGTTAACCTCGATGTCAGTGAGCTTTACCCAGGAGCCACACTGCTCTGTTACCCTTGAGGAGGGAAGAACGTAGACCTGGTCATTTGACACCTTTAAGGGATTTGTGTGATCCTTGGAAAGATGTCTGATAAAAAATACAGACAAGGTTGAGGTCTCTGCATTTAGTCAAAGCTATTATAAATGTGAGCAATTGTTTTGGTTCTTGTTCCATCTATGAAATCAAATTACTGCTTTATCTGTCTCAAGAGTCTCCTGTTGTTTAATCCTTTAAGGAAACTTGTAATTAAACAATGTAAGAAGAGGTATAAGGGATACTGATTTTGATTTTCAGGAAATCGTTTACTTTCAGGACTGATTTATTCTGTGGGATCAAAAATGCATCTCAGAGCCCAGGTTAGTGAGATGTATCGTATGTCGACAATTAATACGCAGTTATCAGAGTTCCTTACGTATGGAGCATTGCACTTGGTTTATGGAGACACTGGATTTTTAGTTATTAGAGTTTTTACTAAGATGTGTTCTAAACAACTCACGAAGCAGCACACTCTTCTGTGTATTTTTCTATCTAGATTTGTACAACAGAGAAAGAATACCTGCATCTATCAAAAATATCTCAGAATGGAAATATTGGGATACTTTGGTTATTTTATATACATTTTCATTCCGCAGATGGCTGGTGCAGTTAGTTATACGGAGTTTGAGGCTATACGATTTCAGTCATACATTGAAAAATACTAGTGAAGTATTCAAGGAACGAATGAAAAGTTGCTCTGTGTTTATTGATTGATTACCTGGAACAAGGTTGAACACAGCCCCCGCAGGGGTGTCTGTCTACAGGCCCCCCAACCCCTGAAGGAGGCATGGACACCAGGCTGTAGAATGCTGCTCCCACCTCCCTGTGAGATTAGAACAAAATTTAAATAAGCATCACCTGAAAGGTCTTGGCGTTGTGGAGGCGTCTTTAAGTGTGAGGAGGCAGCACCACCTGCACGCTGTTTGTGATGACCGTCGTCGTAAACTGAGCCCCCACGGCACCTCACAGGCGGAACTTCCATCTCCCACAGCCCGGAAGCTGACGCCGCGGCCCGTGGGTTCGGAATTGCTCTGAATCGCTGTGCACTATTTGGCAATGTAAAACTGAGGCTGCTACTTAGAAGTAGTCAGTTCACCGTAGAAAACACCTGTATAAATAGCACAGTTTTTCAGCTGGGTGGGGACCTAGGCATGGAACCACGGCTTTGACATGCCCTCGGCAGTCAGTGATTGACAGGTCCCGTGCCTGGTTAGCAGGGTCCTTCTGGAGAGTCTGAGGATCAGCCCCGCCCCAAACTCGGGGCAAGGAAGTGCTGGTCTTTGCCTTAAGGTTTTCTGGGATGTGGGCGCGGGCGTGAGTGTGCACGTGTGCATAATTTTCTCTAGCCTTGGAGGTGCTTTTTATTCAGCTAGGGGAGTCTTTTGTGGTCATTTTTTCGACTGCAGACTGAGAAGGACGTGGTCCACGTGTTTTTGCTTTGGATGCCTTTATCTTACACTCATTATTTTGCCAGTTTGGGGAGTAGCAACTTAGTTCTATGTACAGGCCTTGGAGGAGATGGCTGCTCTCCGCTGGGCCCCATTCGTTTTTACTTAAATGTGTGTGTAATGAGGCTAACTCCAGGACAGTGCGGACCCTAACATCAGCATGGTGCAGACCACAAAGTGTAAAGCCACCCCGAGCCTGGCTCCTTCCATGCAAAGCCTGGCGAGGAAGGCGAGGAAGCCTGGCAGGGATGGTTTTTTCACCACCTCGAAGACCAGCACGCGATTCCGCCTCTAGTTTGACTGTTTTTGTTGTTTAAATCTGAGTCTAGCAATCAGGTAAGTAACTAAAGACTGGCCGTCATCTGGGTTTTTCACCTAAGGAATTATTTTACCCCATAGCTGTGGCAAAAATAGCCACCAAGATGTTGGTGAATGTATTTCATAATTGGATACTATTCTAATGCATTTACTTATATCCAACTTATTCCTGAAGGTACTTAAAAAATTGATAAGACACTTTGCCTATTCCAGCAGGTTTACTTTTATGGCTGTTATTACTAAATTATCAGCAGTGAGGAATAGAAAACGGTCTTACATTTATTAACAGTTTGCATTATGTCAGCTTGTAAACACATCGATGTATCCTACTATGCAGAGATGTCTTTGTGGCTGGCATGGATAGAACCATCAGCTGGTTTTAAATACACAAGCTGACCACACCAGCCCAGGGCCTGGTGTGGAACAGGCATGAACTAGGTGTTGTAGGAAAGGAGATGGTAAGTGGAAAGGCGGGCTTAACGTTTTACAGGCAGGTGGAAGATTTCACTGAGCTTCTCAACTTCCTGATCAAAGGTTCTCTCTGGAACAGAGATCAAAAGGCTTTAAATGCTGGCAGAGGGCTCAGCGATCTTGCAAACTGGCCTAAGAGTGAGGGACAAATTCTGTTGGGATGTGTGGGGGCCGGCACAGGGAGAAGACCTCCTAGCAGACACACACTCACATTTCAGGTAGAAAATCGGCGCCTTCCCAAACTCCGCTCCACAGAATGAGCTGATGAGACTCGGCCCTGGAGTCATGCACATGGTGGTGGGGTTTGAACGCCTGTAGGGAAATGGAGCCTACCTAGGGCTCACACCAGGGGTCCATGTCTCTGTCTCAGGGCACGTATGGTCCAGCCCCGTGGAGCCGTCCTGTGTAGATGAAGCCTCCCCCGGGTGCCATGGTGCACCCACGGGGCTCCTGGAGGCCTGCTGGGGATAGACAGAGGCCACATTGGTGCCTCTTGGTGGCTTCCTGTGCTCACGGCCTGCAGGTGCCCTCTGGAGCACAAGCTCGAAGGAGACGTGGTTCCCACCCTTGGGGCTTTAGGTATAGAGAGGAGATCCGTGTGCCAAGTCAGGGGTGCGTCAGAGTCACCTGAGGGCCTTCCTGCTAGAATGCAGGTGCCTGGGCCTGGCAAGATGCACTGGCTGGACCAGCGGCCTGTGAGGGGAGCCCGGAGCCTGCGTTTGCAGCAGAAGTTCCAGCTGATTCTTATCTCATTAATGCCCGTAAGCCCGTGGGGCAGATTCCACAGGAGGCTACGGAGGCAGGAAGCCCTCCCGGCAGCAGGGGCGGCCAGTGCTGCAGAACTCGGAGGCGAGGGAGGCGGCGATTCATCCATTTTGAATGGAGAGTGTCGTTATTCATTTATTCATTTCACAAATATTTGCCAGTGTTTACCCTGCACCGGCGTCTGCGTAGGTGAGTCTGACTCCATTACATGTTTGTTTCTAGCCAGCGTGAATTGAGCAGTGGCTGAAACAACACACACTGGTGGTGGAGACGTCTTAGGTAGAAGAGAAAGAATATTGTTTTCAATAGGAAAATGCATCAGTTAAAGCAGTCTGTTTCTACTCGTGGAAGAGAAATATGCAACTCACTGCTAGCATCACTAGGAACAGAGACCATAAATACAGAGAAAATTAAGCAGGTTTTAAAATGATCAAAATATAAACTATCCAGTAGTCTGGTAATAGTCAATGACATTCAGAATAAATGATGTGCAATGTGAGCGTGCATAGCTTGAAGTTCCATCTTAGGGCTTAGAAGGTTGAGTGTTTTCTGGATATATTTTTATTTCATAATATTAATTCCATAATATAGTTTAGTGTGCAAACAGCCCCAGGGAGTGACTGGGAAGATTCAGCCATGGAGGCTGTGTCCGTTGTCTGTACTGTGTCTGTTGTCTGTACGGCGCTGTGGCCGCCAAACGGCCCAGTTCTGATCTCGGGAGGTCCCCTGGGTGCTGCTGTGGGCAGATGCTAGCCCCGGCACGGGGGCACCAGAAGAGGGTGCTGGGCTGGGGTCCACGATGGCTTGTCCTCCGTTTGCTCAGCTGAGGGGGCTGCCATCTGGGGAGGAAAGTCAGAGCTTGGTAGAAGGCACCTGAGGCCCTCAAGGAATCCCATCCACCTGGGAGCTTTGGTGTTTGGTGTAGGACTCCGAGGTGAGGCCCTGGAGTGTGAACGTGGAGTCCTCGGCTGGTAAGAGGCCCGGGGCTGCGGCGTGTTGGGGTGATCGTGTGTCTTGTCCCCTCCTCCTGTCCTCCGTGGCCAGGACGCACGTGCACTGAAACTAGCGCCAGTACCGGAGGCCACTGACGTGTCTGTGCCAGTGAAAAACTGACGATGGCAGCTGCGCCTCCTCCCAATCGCCTCCCTCTGGGGAGTCCCCTGTTCTGAGATATTAAACTCCCAGACGGGACCACGCGGGCTGTGCCGCACCCCCTGCCTGCTGCCGGCCTTCCCGGGGTGTCGTGTTCCCTTCGCCTCCGCTCAGCGGGTCCGCGGTTCCGGCTGGAGACGGGCGGCCCCACGCTGGGCGAGGGGAGGCCTGTGTCCGATGCTCTGGGACCCTTCCCTGCAGGAAGCAAACTCTGTGGATGCCAGTGACAATTATTTATTCACCAAGATTCCAAAGACTCGGGAGCTGTAGGATTTGGGATTCATTAGCGAGTGTGAGCAAGGTGCTTTTGGGGCAGAGAGCTGCGTGAGCCAAGAACGCGGTTGTGTAACTGACCCCGGAAGCGCAGGGCCCGGGAGAGGCTGCAGGCGGCCGCCTGGGGAGGGCCGGGGATCGAGAAAACGCTTCAGGAGCTGCTTGTAATGACTGGGCACATTCGGTGGTAATTGGTGTTGGTGGGAGTAACGCGGCCGCCGCGGGTGCAGGACTTTCCTGCCTTCTGTTTTCTAAATGGCAGCGGTGAGGAAGCAGCTGCCCGCGGGGTGTGCTTGGGTACGGAGGCTCAGGAGCTCTGCTCAGCACTGCGGCTGCCGACACGTCCTTGCTGTTGGGCTCCCTTCAGGAGAGAAAGTCCGGCGTCCGCGGGCCCTGGCTTCCTCCGGGTGAGGTGGTGGAGCCGCCTGCCAGGCCTCCTAGACGAGAGCCCTCTAAGACTCAGTGTTCAGGGTTTTTCTTAGACGAGACGCTTTCCTTCATCTCCTCTAGTGAGACTCGGTCCTTAAGGCTGACGCTGGCGCCGTCTTCTCTTCCCTGTGCTGGGGACAGATTTTTCTGTGAGCCCGCAGGGCCCGTCATTTTGGTTTGTGGGGATTTTTCTGTGAGCCCCCCAGGGCCCGTCATTTTGGTTTGTGGGGATTTTTCTGTGAGCCCCCAGGGCCCGTCATTTTGGTTTGTGGGGACAGATTTTTCTGTGAGCCCCCCCAGGGCCCCTCGTTTTGGTTTGTGGGGACTGATTGTGAGCCCCCCAGGGTTTGTTTTTGTTTGTGGGGACAGATTTTTCTGTGAGCCCGCAGGGCCCGTCGTTTTGGTTTGTGGGGATTTTTCTGTGAGCCTCCCAGGGCCCGTCGTTTTGGTTTCTCTGGAGCTGCGATTCAGCCCCATGTGAAAGTCTGGAGGCGATGGCCTGGCTCTCACTGGCTGACGTCCTGTTGGGGGAGTTAACCAGGTAACCAGGTTGGGCGTGTGGGAACTTTCCTCCCTTCCCGGTGGTGCCACGGATGCTGCCCAAGTACTTGTGGGTCATATTCTAAGCCCAGATGCCACAAAGCCCAAGTCAGAGGGAAGAGCCATGCTCAGAACCGCCAGGGCCTGTCTCTAAGGCCCTTGCCTGAAATTGAGCTGCATTCTCTGGATCTCCATCGTCAGTTCTGTGAAGTTTGTCTTTCTGACTCCTCCAGGCCCGAAACAAATGTCTGAGGTCTATGTGAAAAGTCATTCTTTCAGAGAAGCTTCCGACTGCTGCGTGTGGAAAGTGTGCGTGTGACAGTGAGAATACCAGGTCCCTTTGTCAGCGTTGCTGAGACAGCTCCAGTCTCTCTGTGGTCTCACTCTTGACCTCGTCTCCTGTAAAAACACATGCAAGATGCAATCGTGGAAAATGATAAAGTTGTTGAGCTGTAGAAACCCAAATTATCTTCCCATTAGAGAGTCTGGGAGTTGGAGACTGTTATGAGTTCAGGGATGGGGTTGGGTGTTGGGAGTCCGGGGTCCTGGCTAAAGATTCTCCTCCCTCTGGGCCGCTCCAGATGACATGTTTCCTTCCCTCTCAGGCCCTGCACTTCTGCTGCCAGATAGAGAGAGAGGAAGACAGAGAGGGGGAGAGGAAAGGAGACAGAGAGAGAGGGAGGGTGGGAGGGAAGGAGGGAGGTAGAGGGGGAGATGGGGGGGCGGGAGGAACAGAGGCAGAGGGAGAGGAAGACAGATGGAGAAGAAGGGAGACAGAGACAGAGATGGGGAGAGAGACAGGGAGAGAGAGAGAGAGCACGCGCATACAGCATCAGCCCTCAGGGCCCCAGGACCATCGGCCGTTGGCTACCAAGCGCTGGCACAGCCGGGCTCGGGTCTTAGGGGACAGGTGCTGTGATCAGAGGCTGGTTTTTCTCAAAGTGTGCATGTGTGTCTGTGCATTTGTTTTTGGTGCAAAGGGCATCGCACTAATTAATGTGTACATTTGCTCATCAGATGGTGATTTGCATGGCATGTGTTGCCAAGCCTTGTTCTAGATACTGGGATACATCAGCCAGCAAGACAGGCAGTGGCCCTTGCCCTTGTGAAATTGTGCAGTCGCTGCGTGTGACTGTTACATGATTTTCGTCTTTTTTAATTTTTAATTTTATTTGTCGAATTTACGTTTTTAGCTCAGTTTGCTGTGCAGGTGTTACAAACAATATTATGAAGATTTGCTCTTTCAGTTTTTCTTAGGAACTCTAAAATTTTACAGTTTGTATCTCCTCCTGTTACTTTAAATTTTCTTCTTTGGCTATCATTTCTTAAAAGCCTAATTTTCCCACGTTAGATTTAAGGGAAAAAAAAAACATTCAGGGAGGCTTCATAGATGTGCCACTTTTAAGATAATAACAGATTTTGTTGGTTGCTGTTTTAACCATTATCCAGTTTCTTGTAGTTGCTGTTGACTTTTTTCTTCCAGTAATATTTGGAAAAAATGTGGCTAATTATTAAGAAAACTGAATAATCTCCCGTCAGTAACCCATGGGTGCTCTTTGCCCAAGGTTATCTAAAGAGGAGGCTCTTGCCCTCTCTCAGGTCATGGCACCTTAGCTACTCCGTGCCAGGGCATCAGCCCTGTCCTTCCCCGGCCTCTTTGAGGTCTTGTTTGTCTTACAGCGTCTGAATTTATTTATATATTTTAAACAAATGCCTGCACCACATCCTTCTACCCTCCTGCTGCCTTCCTGAGTCATGGCTAATGGCCCAGTCCCCGTGCAAGATGCACCACCCCGTGCTTCCTTATTCCCGAGGCCCCGGCCTATAATTATCCTCTTCATTCAGGACCGACATCTCCTTGAAGATGTAACCAGGTTGATCATTTAATAATGCGCCATCTGATTTGACTTCTGATAGCTCAAGCTCTTACCCTCTGTTCGTCTCCAGGAAGGAGTGGGCAGAGCCTTCACATTAGAATATTCTGTTTGATTTTTCTCCTCCTTTTCACTGTATATATTGCTCCATTTTGCTGACATTTTTATAGAAGGGCAGAACATTCATGAGAAATATCCCTGCAGGTTAATGGTGTTTATTTCTCCAATTATTTTATCCTTTCTAAGAATACGGAGTCTCCTGTCAATGCCGCATAAGCATGTCGTCTCTGTTTCCAAACTTGTCTGATTTAATCACCCCACATTGTGAACGTGTATCTATCAAAAAACATCACAGTTTACCTCTCAATAAATTATACAATTATTATTTGTCAATTAAAATAAAATTTACATACAATAACAATGGTCTCTGGTAAATGTAAGTATTGTTTCGTGGTTTTCTACATATGGATAATGATAATACTATATTTAAGTAGCTTATGAATTTTGAAAGAAAAAAACACTCCTAGTGTTTGGGAGGCCAAGGTGAGAGGACCACGAGGCCAGGAGTTCAGGATCAGCCTAGGCAACATCTCTGCAAAAAATTTTACAAAAACTTATCTGGGTGTGGTGGCATGCACCTGTAGTCCCAGCTAATCTGTAGGCTGAGGTGGGAGGATCGCTTGAGCCCGGGAGGTTGAGGCTGCAGTGAGCTGTGATTGTATCACTGTACTCTAGCCTGGGCAACTGATCAAGGCACTGTCTCTAAAAGAAGAAAAAGAAAAAAACAATTTGTAAAAGCCTCCTGACTTACATGACCGAAAAAGTTAGAAGAAAAAAGCACATGCATGAAATTCACAAGCAAAGGCCCCCAAAGGTCTGACTCCATGAAATTTATCACAAACCCTCAACCACAGCAACTTCAAGAGCAGGAGAGAAGTAATTGGCTTTCTCGAGTCCAGTACACACTGCAGGGCAGACCAGTGTACCTCACAGGGAGTTGCTAAGCAGGAAGAAAAAGGCAGAGAGGGGTGAGGCTGGCAGGGCAGAGGCTGTGTCCCCGGCTGCTAGGGAAGCAGAGTTTCAGGGTTTTATGCATGTCAAACCCATGGTGTTTCTACATGAATGACTGGAATTTCAGTGTTGCAGACCCAGGGGATCTTAGTCATGAACTGCACCCTAGTTTCCTTTAATCAGATGATCATAAGTGGCCCACATTGAGGTAATACTTAAAATTATATTGCACATAATTTAACCTTGTTTTAATGTTTGTGAAAGTTAATTTCTTTAGGGTAGTAGGCACGCAATGGAATATTCTTGGTTTATGGAAATCTGGAACTTCTTAGGACATTGTTGGGCATCAGCATCCATTCAGTTGACAAACATTTGTTGAACGTCTACAGTGTCTGACACTGAGGTACAAAGTCAAGTATAAAGTACCTGGTTGAGGTCCTAAACCAACGTTCAGTAGAGGGATGTAGACAGACACGTTAGCAAGTACTTAACCTGAGTCCATTTTTTTTTATTATACTTTAAGTTTTAGGGTACATGTGCACAATGTGTAGGCTAGTTACATATGTATACATGTGCCATGCTGGTGTGCTGCACCCATTAACTCGTCATCTAGCATTAGGTATATCTCCCATTGCTATCCCTCCCCCCTCCCCCCACCCCACAACAGTCCCCAGAGTGTGATGTTCCCCTTCCTGTGTCCACGTGTTCTCATTGTTCAGTTCCCACCTATGAGTGAGAATCTGCGGTGTTTGGTTTTTTGTTCTTGCCATAGTTTACTGAGAATGATGATTTCCAATTTCATCCATGTCCCTAGAAAGGACATGAACTCATCATTTTTTATGGTTGCATAGTATTCCATGGTGTATAGGTGCCACATTTTCTTAATCCAGTCTATCATTGTTGGACATTTGGGTTGGTTCCAAGTCTTTGCTATTGTGAATAGTGCCGCAATAAACATACGTGTGCATGTGTCTTTATAGCAGCATGATTTATAGTCCTTTGGTATATGCCCAGTAATGGGATGGCTGGGTCAAATGGTATTTCTAGTTCTAGATCCCTGAGGAATCGCCACACTGACTTCCACAATGCTTGAACTAGTTTACAGTCCCACCAACAGTGTAAAAGTTTTCCTATTTCTCCACATCCTCTCCAGCACCTGTTGTTTCCTGACTTTTTAATGATCGCCATTCTAACAGGTGTGAGATGATATCTCATTGTGGTTTTGATTTGCATTTCTCTGATGGCCAGTGATGGTGAGCATTTTTTCATGTGTTTTTTGGCTGCATAAATGTCTTCTTTTGAGAAGTGTCTGTTCATGTCCTTTGCCCACTTTTTGATGGGGTTGTTTGTTTTTTTCTCGTAAATTTGTTTGAGTTCATTGTAGATTCTGGATATTAGCCCTTTGTCAGATGAGTAGGTTGCGAAAATTTTCTCCCATGTTGTAGGTTGCCTGTTCACTCTGATGGTAGTTTCTTTTGCTGTGCAGAAGCTCTTGAGTTTAATTAGATCCCATTTGTCAATTTTGGCTTTTGTTGCCATTGCTTTTGGTGTTTTAGACATGAAGTCCTTGCCCATGCCTATGTCCTGAATGGTATTGCCTAGGTTTTCTTCTAGGTTTTTTATGGTTTTAGGTCTAACGTTTAAGTCTTTAATCCATCTTGAATTGATTTTTGTATAAGGTGTAAGGAAGGGATCCAGTTTCAGCTTTCTCCATATGGCTAGCCAGTTTTCCCAGCACCATTTATTAAATAGGGAATCCTTTCCCCATTGCTTGTTTTTCTAAGGTTTGTCAAAGATCAGATGGTTGTAGATATGCGGCGTTATTTCTGAGGGCTCTGTTCTGTACTATTGATCTATATCTCTGTTTTGGTACCAGTACCATGCTGTTTTGGTTACTGTAGCCTTGTAATATACTTTGAAGTCAGGTAGCGTGATGCCTCCAGCTTTGTTCTTTTGGCTTAGGATTGACTTGGCGATGCGGGCTCTTTCTTGGTTCCATATGAACTTTAAAGTAGTTTTTTCCAATTCTGTGAAGAAAGTCATTGGTAGCTTGATGGGGATGGCATTGAATCTATCAATTACCCTGGGCAATATGGCCATTTTCATGATATTGATTCTTCCTATCCATGAGCATGGAATGTTCTTCCATTTGTTTGTATCCTCTTTAATTTCACTGAGCAGTGGTTTTTAGTTGTCCTTGAAAAGGTCCTTCACGTCCCTTGTAAGCTGCATTCCTAGGTATTTTATTCTCTTTGAAGCAATTGTGAATGGGAGTTCACTCATGGTTTGGCTCTCTGTTTGTCTGTTGTTGGTGTATAAGAATGCTTGTGATTTTTGTACATTGATTTTGTATCCTGAGACTTTGCTGAAGTTGCTTATCAGCTTAAGGAGATTTTGGGCTGAGACAGTGGGATTTTCTAGATATACAATCATGTCATCTGCAAACAGAGACAATTTGACTTCCTCTTTTCCTAATTGAATAACCTTTATTTCCTTCTCCTGCCTAATTGCCCTGGCTAGAACTTCCAACACTAGGTTGAATAGGAGTGGTGAGAGAGGGCATCCCTGTCTTGTGCCAGTTTTCAAAGGGAATGCTTCCAGTTTTTGCCCATTCAGTATGATATTGGCTGTGGGTTTGTCATAGATAGCTCTTATTATTTTGAGATACGTCCCATCAATACCTAATTTATTGAGAGTTTTTAGCATGAAGTGTTGTTGAATTTTGTCAAAGGCCTTTTCTGCGTCTATTAAGATAATCATGTGGTTTTTGTCTTTGGTTCTGTTTATATGCTGGATTACATTTATTGATTTGCGTATATTGAACCAGCCTTGCATCCCAGGGATGAAGCCCACTTGTTCATGCTGGATAAGCTTTTTGATGTGCTGCTGGATTCGTTTTGCCAGTATTTTATTGAGGATTTTTGCATCAATGTTCATCAAGGATATTGGTCTAAAATTCTCTTTTTTGGTTGTGTCTCTGCCAGGCTTTGGTATCAGGATGATGCTGGCCTCATAAAATGAGTTAGGGAGGATTCCCTCTTTTTCTGTTGATTGGAATAGTTTCAGAAGCAATGGTACCAGTTCATCCTTGAACCTCTGGTAGAATTCGGCTGTGAATCCATCTGGTCCTGGACTCTTTTTGGTTGGTAAGCTATTGATTATTGCCACAATTTCAGCTCCTGTTATTGGTCTATTCAGAGATTCAGCTTCTTCCTGGTTTAGTCTTGGGAGAGTGTATGTGTCGAGGAATGTATCCATTTCTTCTAGATTTTCTAGTTTATTTGCGTAGAGGTGTTTGTAATATTCTCTGATGGTAGTTTGTATTTCTGTGGGATCGGTGGTGATATCCCCTTTATCATTTTTTATTGCATCTATTTGATTCTTTTCTCTTTTTTTCTTTATTAGTCTTGCTAGCGGTCTATCAATTTTGTGGATCCTTTCAAAAAACCAGCTCCTGGATTCATTAATTTTTTGAAGGGTTTTTTGTGTCTCTATTTCCTTCAGTTCTGCTCTGATTTTAGTTATTTCTTGCCTTCTGCTAGCTTTTGAATGTGTTTGCTCTTGCTTCTCTAGTTCTTTTAATTGTGATGTTAGGGTGTCAATTTTGGATCTTTCCTGCTTTCTCTTGTGGGCATTTAGTGCTATAAATTTCCCTCTACACACTGCTTTGAATGTGTCCGAGATTCTGGTATGTTGTGTCTTTGTTCTCGTTGGTTTCAAAGAACATCTTTATTTCTGCCTTCATTTCGTTATGTACCCAGTAGTCCTTCAGGAGAAGGTTGTTCAGTTTCCATGTAGTTGAGCGGTTTTGAGTGAGTTTCTTAATCCTGAGTTCTAGTTTGATTGCACTGTGGTCTGAGAGATAGTTTGTTATAATTTCTGTTCTTTTACATGTGCTGAGGAGAGCTTTACTTCCAGAGTATGTGGTCAGTTTTGGAATCGGTGTGGTTTGGTGCTGAAAAAAATGTATATTCTGTTGATTTGGGGTGGAGAGTTCTGTAGATGTCTATTAGGTCCGCTTGGCGCAGAGCTGAGTTCAGTTCCTGGGTATCCTTGTTGACTTTCTGTCTCATTGATCTGTCTAATGGTGACAGTGGGGTATTAAAGTCTCCCATTATTAATGTGTGGGAGTCTAAGTCTCTTTGTAGGTCACTCAGGACTTGCTTTATGAATCTGGGTGCTCCTGTATTGGGTGCATATATATTTAGGATACTTAGCTCTTCTTGTTGAATTGATCCCTTTACCATTATGTAATGGCCTTCTTTGTCAACTTTGATCTTTGTTGGTTTAAAATCTGTTTTATCAGAGACTAGGATTGCAACCCCTGCCTTTTTTTGTTTTCCATTGGCTTGGTAGATCTTCCTCCATCCTTTTATTTTGAGCCTATATGTGTCTCTGCACGTGAGATGGGTTTCCTGAATATAACACACTGATGGGTCTTGACTCTTTATCCAATTTGCCAGTCTGTGTCTTTTAATTGGAGCATTTAGTCCATGTACATTTAAAGTTAATATTGTTATGTGTGAATTTGATCCTGTCATTATGATGTTAGCTGTTTATTTTGCTCGTTAGTTGATGCAGTTTCTTCCTAGTCTGGATGGTCTTTACATTTTGGCATGATTTTGCAGTGGCTGGTACTGGTTGTTCCTTTTCATGTTTAGTGCTTCCTTCAGGAGCTCTTTTAGGGCAGGCCTGGTGGTGACAAAATCTCTCAGCATTTGCTTGTCTGTAAAGTATTTTATTTCTCCTTCACTTATGAAGCTTAGTTTGGCTGGATATGAAATTCTGGGTTGAAAATTCTTTTCTTTAAGAATGTTGAATATTGGCCCCCACTCTCTTCTGGCTTGTAGAGTTTCTGCCTAGAGATCAGCTGTTAGTCTGATGGGCTTCCCTTTGTGGGTAACCCGACCTTTCTCTCTGGCTCTCCTTAACATTTTTTCCTTCATTTCCACTTTGGTGAATCTGACCATTATGTGTCTTGGAGTTGCTCTTCTCGAGGAGTAGCTTTGTGGCGTTCTCTGTATTTCCTGAATCTGAATGTTGGCCTGCCTTGCTAGATTGGGGAAGTTCTCCTGGATAATATCCTGCAGAGTGTTTTCCAACTTGGTTCTGTTCTCCCTGTCACTTTCAGGTGCACCAATCAGACGTAGATTTGGTCTTTTCACATAGTCCCATATTTCTTGGAGGCTTTGTTCGTTTCTTTTTATTCTTTTTTCTCTAAACTTCCCTTCTCACTTCATTTCATTCATTTCATCTTCCATCGCTGATACCCTTTCTTCCAGTTGATCACATCGGCTCCTGGGGCTTCTGCATTCTTCACATAGTTCCCGAGCCTTGGCTTTCAGCTCCATCAGCTCCTTTAAGCACTTCTCTGTATTGGTTATTCTAGTTATACATTCTTCTAAATTTTTTTCAAAGTTTTTAACTTCTTTGCCTATGGTTTGAATTTCCTCCTGTAGCTCGTAGTTTGATCGTCTGAACCCTTCTTCTCTCATCTCGTCAAAGTCATTCTCCGTCCAGCTTTGTTCGATTGCTGGTGAGGAACTGTGATGCTTTGGAGGAGGAGAGGTGCTCTGCTTTTTAGAGTTTCCATTTTTTCTGCTCTGTTTTTTCCCCATCTTTGTGGTTTTATCTACTTTTGGTCTTTGATGATGGTGATGTACAGATGGGTTTTTGGTGTGGATGTCCTTTCTGTTTGTTAGTTTTCCTTCTAAGAGACAGGACCCTCAGCTGCAGGTCTGTTGGAGTTTGCTAGAGGTCCACTCCAGACCCAGTTTGCCTGGGTATCGGCAGCGGTGTCCGCAGAACAGTGGTTTTTCGTGAACCGCGAATGCTGCTGCCTGATCGTTCTTCTGGAAGTTTTGTCTCAGAGGAGTACCCGGCCACGTGAGGTGTCAGTCTGCCCCTACTGGGGGGTGCCTCCAGTTAGGCTGCTCAGGGGTCAGGGGTCAGAGACCCACTTGAGGAGGCAGTCTGCCCGTTCTCAGATCTCCAGCTGTGTGCTAGGAGAACCACTGCTCTCTTCAAAGCTGTCAGACAGGGACATTTAAGTCTGCAGAGGCTACTGCTGTCTTTTTGTTTGTCTGTGCCCTGCCCCCAGAGGTGTAGCCTACAGAGGCAGGCAGGCCTCCTTGAGCTGTGGTGGGCTCCACCCAGTTGGAGCTTCCCGGTTGCTTTGTTTACCTAAGCAAGCCTGGGCAATGGTGGGCGCCCCTCCCCCAGCCTCCCTGCCGCCTAGTTTGATCTTAGACTGCTGTGCTAGCAATCAGCAAGACGTTATGGGCGTAGGACCCTCTGAGCCAGGTGCAGGATATAATCTCCTGGTGCGCCATTTTTTAAGCCCATCGGAAAAAGCACAGTATTCGGGTAGGAGTGACCCGATTTTCCAGGTGCCGTCTGTCACCCCTTTCTTTGACTAGGAAAGGGAACTCTCTGACCCATTGCGCTTCCTGAGTGAGGCAATGCGTCGCCCTGCTTCGGCTCCCGCACGGTGCACGCACCCACTGACCTGCGCCCACCTCTGGCACTCCCTAGTGAGATGAACCTGGTACCTCAGATGGAAATGCAGAAATCACCGTCTTCTGTGTCGCTCACGCTGGGAGCTGTAGACTGGAGCTATTCCTATTTGGCCATCTTGGCTCCTCCGCTCGATCCCATTGTTCATGACACAGCTATGCCTGGGCTGTTGTAGGGGTCATGGGAGCAGTGTTAAACAGTGACAGAGGGCTCAGGGCTTAGGGGAGATCTAAGTCGGGCTGGAACTGGGTATTGAAGGGTGAGTTAGGAATTAGGTACATTTTCCAGGATTCTAAGGAAGAAGGAAAAACAGAAAAATTGCTATTCTGCAGGGAATGTGATAAGTCTACCCACATACCCATCACCACCATCACCACCATCATCACCACCATCATCACCACCGTCATTACCATTACCAAAATCATTATCATCATTACCATTACCACCATCATTACCATCACCAAAATCATTATCATTACCATTACCACCATCATCATTACCATCACCAAAATCATTATCATTACCATTACCACCATCATTGCCATCACCAAAATCATTATCGTCATCATTACCATTACCATCATCATCATCATTACCATCATCAAAGTCATTATCACCATCACCAAAATCATTATCATCATTACCATCACCAAAGTCATTATTACCATCACCACCACCATTACCATCATTGTCGTCATCATCATTACATCACCAAAATCATTATTACTGCCACCATCATCATCGTCGTCTTTACCATCATTGTCATCATCACCATCACCACCATCATCATTACCATCACCACCACTATCACCATCACCACCATCATTACCATGACCAAAATCATTATCATCATTACTATCACTATCATCATTGTCATCATCACCACCATCATTATCACTACCTCCATCATTACCATCATCTAGACTATAGCAGCTGAGTTCTGTTTATCTATGTTTACAAAATCCTAAGTGAGTGAGGGAAAGAAGGTGAGACAGGCAGGAGGCAGCTCTGAGAGAGCTTATGTTGTTCATCACCCTTCTTATGATGATAAGAAAATTAATTCCCCTTTCTAGTTCCCCCAAGAATGAAAATTAGATATTTCCCTATAAAAGTAGTCAGATGACAGGAGAGAGTTTGGATGGAACTCAAAACTAAATTTAGTTTTCCAATAAAATTATTCTAGGATTCCCCTTCCCACACTTTTTTGCTACCTTCTGTCTTCAGATCTGGAAGAATCTATTTTGTTAAATGTTAAAATTTATCTGATGACATTTCTGCTATGGCCATAAAATTACTAACTAGTAACCCGCAGTGAGCACAGAAATGTCTTCACATGCTTGATTTTAAAAAAAAAACCTAAGAAGTGTGTTAAATTTAGCCCAATAGTGCATTTCATGGGGAAGATCAATACATGTACGTGTGGGCTTAGTTTTCTGTGAATCTCTGTAGCACATCTAATCTAAAAGAGTCCAGAAGAATATCATTAGCTGTAAAAATTACATTACCATCATAGTTGTGACTAAAATAGCCTTCATTTATAAAAAGGAAACTATTATAAAAGCATAATTTGATCACTAATATATGTACTTGGGCTAATAAAAGTTGTTTATCATGTTTCATTGAGGCTGTCAGTGGAAGGGAGAACATTGTGTTCTAGCTCTATATGCGACTCCATTAGGACAGTAGGAACATGACTAAATGCCAGTCTGTCTCTGAGAAATTTGGAGGGTGTTGGAATAAATACATCCCTTGTGTTTTGCCATGGCTTGGTTTTGTCAAACTTTTAGGGGTTAGATATCAGCACCTTTAAGAGCTCAATTCTTGACCTGCTCTGTGTGAATGAATAACTAGATCTTTGTCATTCACCCTATACCTCATCGGGAAAGTAAATCTTAATACTTATTTGGGCATGTAGTATAGAGGAAGGCACTCGGCATTGGATTTACACAAACCTAGATTAAAACCCTGTGCCCGTTGTTTATTATCCACATAGCCATGGGGAGGTCGCATCCTCCCTCTCGGCTTTGCCATCTGCAAAGTGAGGACAAAGCGATTCGCAGATGTGGGAGCTGGCACAGGGCCTATGTCATACCATCCGCCCGATAAATATTGACTGGTCCATCTTCCCAGATGGATAAGCCCATTCATACACTGCATAAAAATACTACCTGAAACTGGGTAATTTATAAACAAAAGAGGTTTAACTGACTCACAGTTCCACATGGCTGGAGAGGCCTCAGGAAACTTACAATTGTGGTGGAAGATGAAGGGGAAGCAAGGCACGTGTTACATGGCGGTAGGTGAGAGACAGTGTGGGAAATGCTGCCACTTTCAAACCATCAGACCTCGTGAGAATTCCCTCATTACCACAAGAATAGCATGGGGAAAACCGTCCCTGTGATCCAGACACTTTCCTCAGGTTCCTCGCTCCACACATGGGGATTACAGTTCGAGGTGAGATTTGGGTGGGGACACAGAGCCAAACCATATCACCAGAGTTTCTGTGAGCTCCGTTAGATCTACACTTTGGGTGTTTGTTCTGAGTATTTACATGAGATGTAGAACGATGAATGTAGTCACGAGCATTACAGCCAGAAGGAACTACACTTGGAGATCCTGCCCTCACAGCCGCCCTGTGAATTTAACTGGTTTATTGACGTTGTTCATGCTCAGGTCCCACCCATCTCAATCCAGTGCACGACAGGGGTCGTGTTTCCTTGTGGGGTTGACGGGGAAGAAGTTGGAGGCTGGGCGAGAGGGCAGGAAGGTGAAGGTCACCAGGGAGGCAGCCCAGGGCTCCGTCTGCCATGCTGCCTGTTGTGCACTCAGGTGCAGCCCCGTCTGCTGGTCCAGAAGAGATGGTCACTGGGTCCCTGTGGAAAGAGGTCTCGGTTGGAGGCAGGCCTGGTGGTCACATTCTCTCAACACACCCTCTGGCTTCTTTCCACCCTCTCATGGAGTAGCAGAGAGAGCCAAGGACTAGATATGTCACCAACTCAGACAGGACCTGCCTTTCATGCCATGGCAGCAAAGCAGCACAATTCTGGGAACTGAGCAAGCAAGTCACGGTTCACACAAGCGGTGGCCAGGCTCTGGAAACTGGGAAAAGTCAGTCCTTGAGATCATCGTTGATGTCGCATTAACACTTCAAAAAATTATACTTTCTTTGGCATATTATAACAATATAGTCAACATGGTCTAACCTGTTATACGTGGTCTAAAAGTCCCAGCCTTCGAGTGGACGCACGCACGCCCAGCACCCCATGAATGAAGAACTTTGCTGGGGCCCTTACATCTTTTCTTGCAGTTCAGCTATGCGGTTTGTCTTGTGTCCTGTGATTGTGCTTTATTTTAGATCCCTTGCCATTGCCCATATTTATTTATCTTTTCTCCGTATGTTCTTGGAGTATTTTTTGCTCAGGAGAGGCATTATATCATAAGCCTGGCTGTTTTATCAGGTTTACCAGATCGAAAAATGTGTGGTCTCCTGGCCCGAGTTCTGCCATCTGTTGTCAGGAGGCCTCCTGACTTTCCCACCATCTTTGGGCACACCGGAGCAGATGCACGAGACCCGATTCTGAATGCATGGTGTTGATGTCAGATATTAGCACCATTGTTCTGGCTTGCGATTGTGTTGCTTCATTTGTTTGTGTCTTTACTCTTAGATGACTTTTATTTCATTACATTTCAACCTCAGAGAAAATAGGCAAAGCCTGTCTTAGTCCATTTGGGCAGCTGTCACAAATACCCCACACTAGGTCATTTATAAATAATAGAAGTTTATTTCTCACAGTTCTAGAGGCTGGAAGTCTGAGATTGAGATGCCAGCAGGTTCGATGTCTGGTGAGGGCTGCTTCCTGGTGTGTAGACCACACCTGCTGTGCCCTCACAGGGTACAAGGGGTGAGGGAGCTCTCCAGGGCCTCTTACCTCATCATCTCCCAAGGGCCCCACCTCATAATACCACCACTGTGGGGGCTCCCTTTCAGCATATGAATTTCAGGGAGATGCATTCCGGCCAGCAAAGCCTTCAGGAAGCACCAGCTGAGGCCTCAGTGATCGACATCTCCAACACAGCATCTCCCGGTGAAGGGCTGTGGCCGTGGCCAGTGGTGGTGAAGGGATTCGGCCATGGCCAGTGGTGGTTGGTGCCTCTCAGCTCATGGGACACGGTGCTCTGGGACCTGAGCTGGTGGTGTCAGAGTCATTACCCCAGAATCCAAGGCCTTGGAGAGAACTAGGGACCCCCGGAGGACTGCCTGAAGGCAGGGAAATGTTAAATTCAGGAAGATAGTAGTTAAATGTGCATAAGCAGGTAATGTCCCAGAGATGATTTATGGAGTTACCACGTGATAGCATTTGGTGGGTGAGGTTAGAGGGCTGTGAATTGTTCTTTTCTCATTTGGGCAAGACCTGCGCTTGGAGAGAGTGTCTGCTGGCCGGGGTTGCGGAGGGGCGGCAGCAGTGGCGGTGGCAGTGGTTGAGGGAGTTCCTAAGGCTTCCTTAATGGATTTGGGGGTTGGTGCCCCCACTCACTCTGTGTTTCTGTCCTGCTTCTGCTATAATAATAGACGTCCTTATTAAAACAGCTGAACATAAATATCAAGTAACGTTGACAAACACAGCACTTGGTTTCAACTGGGATTTAACGAAAGGCACCTTTTTAGGCAAAGTTAGACATCTCTCTTTTTTTTAGGTAAGCTTAGCTCCTACTTAATTTTGCCCAGATTCTGAAGTATAAATGCAGCTCAGCTCTCAAACCCACCTTGAATGGATTTTGGGAAGTGCACAAAATGTAGAAGTTTTAGCAACTGCTGGGCAGTGCTTTTCTTCCCCTTTGGCTCAGAGACAGTCTTACCTGCAATGATTCTCTGCCAATTCCAGGGAAGACCCAGGTCAGCTGTGCCCACCGCCAGCATCTGTCCACCCTGGTTTCTCACAAGAGGGTGTGGGTGTGATTCAGCTGCAACTGCTCTTTCAGTTAGGAGCCCCCCTGCCCCACACCATTGCCCCTTCAGCCTGGGCACACCGGCCTCTGCACCTGGGGCCCACGCCGCCCTGGTCTCGTCTCCAGTTCACCAGCTTTAGGTCCCTACAGATTAATTTCGAGCCCCTGCTGTAAAACTCCCAGCTTCTATAAGGGGTTGAGTTTTAAGAGCATGTGCACACTTAAACAGGCTTTAAAAGAAGCATCAAGTGACTTTTCTACACCTGTTTACGATACCAAAGTGCCTGGAGTGTTTCAGGGACTTAATTTCTTTAATCCCTCAAGTGCCCAAAGAAAGTAAATGGCAAAGCCTGTTGTTTTTCTCCACTTTGCAATTTGGGAGATGGGATGGCTGAGTATTTCAGAGGCCTTAGATGCAGAGTGGGGGTGGGTGAGCACTCAGCTCTCTCATTCCCCCACCCCCCATTTTCGCCTGTGCCAAGGTGGCCAGGCACCAGCTGAGGCTGTGGGTGGAGGGAGTGCTTCGCTGGGGGACTCTGACTGTGCAGTCGATGGACACTTGTGCTGCCAGCTTTCTGGGAAGGCTCAGCTCCCTGCTGTCCACACCTTCAGGAGCGTCCCCAGCAGGCTCTGCAAGAGACGTGGCTGCCCCACAGGCACCTGGCTGCTGGGATGAGGCTTCCACCTCTCTCCAAGTTTCCTTTTACTCAAGACGGTGGAATTAATTTGGCACTGTGTAATTAAATTAACTCTCCAAGTTGCCTTTGCATGCAGTTTTAAATAAAGCTGTTTTTCTATGTGTATTGCAATCCTAATTTGTGTTTTAAACATATATTAAGCGACCCTGGAATATCAGGGGCCACCTTAATATACAGTTACACAGCTATAATATTTTTATGAAATATAAATGGGAGTACAAAATTTTGAACTAGAGAATAAAAATATTTTAGGGTTCACGGCATACCCTTACATTTATACCCAGTGATTGCTAAGAATAGACTGAAAGATATTCAGTATATAACAGTAGCTAAAGTGTACAAATAATTATGTGAAAACAAAATAACGAGTAGATGGGAAATTAAACCGTGCCTTTAGAAATAAAGATTGGATGCTTGTTTGAGTAAATGCAATTAAAATACTTGGTGTTTTATACTAGCCAGTTAAAGTGAACACATAATTTTTTTATTTGAATGGAGAAGCACTGGCAAAGAATTGTTGAATGTTCATGTTGTATCAATTCCATAACATTCAATAAATAAGTAAAAATGGATGTGCCTTCACAGTGACGTGAACTTCCTCCTTTTCCAAACTGAGGACGTAAATTACACTTTTTTCTGATAAAGCCAGATTTGTTTTTTAATTGACTTATAACTTACAGTGAAGTGCCCAGATTCTAGCTACACATATGTCCATGTAACCCACATGCCAGTCAGACGTGGAACTCTTCCACACTGCAGAGCGTTCCCTCCTGCCAAATCCCAGTTACACCCTGGCCACCAGAAGCACGCTTCTGATTTCTTTGATTCATTTATTATCATTTTTGAGAAGGGGCCTCACAATGTTGCCCAGCCTGGTCTTGAGCTCAAGCAGTCCTCTGCTTCAGGCCCGTGTGCCTGGGATCTCAGGCAGGAGCCACCGTGCCCAGCTCTTAGTCTTCTGTGTTGCATCACCATGGATTATCTGTTGTAATTTCACACAAGAACCAGTGCGTGTGGCACACATCGTGTGCAATGGCAGCACACTGTCGAGTGTGTGTGGGTGTGTGAGGGCAGCACACCATCAAGCGTGTCAGTGTGCAAGGGCAGTATGCTTACCGTCGACTGGGTGTGCCAGGGCAGTACAATTACCGTCGAGTGTGTGTGGGTGTGCAAGGGCAGCACACTTACCATTGAGTCTGTGTGGGTGTGCCAGGGCAGTACAGTTACTGTCGAGTGTGTGTGGGTGTGCAAGGGCAGTACACTTACCGTTGAGTGTGTGTGGTGCACGTCCTGTGCAAGGGCAGTACACTTACCGTCGAATGTGGTGCATGTTGTGTGTAAGGGCAGTACACTTACTGTCGAGTGTGGGTGGCTGTGCAAGGGCAGTACACTTACTGTCGAGTGTGGGTGGCTGTGCAAGGGCAGTACACTTACTGTCGAGTGTGGGTGGCTGTGCAAGGGCAGTACACTTACTGTCGAGTGTGGGTGGCTGTGCAAGGGCAGTACACTTACTGTCGAGTGTGGGTGGCTGTGCAAGGGCAGTCACTTACTGTCGAGTGTGGGTGGCTGTGCAAGGGCAGTCACTTACTGTCGAGTGTGGGTGGCTGTGCAAGGGCAGTACACTTACTGTCGAGTGTGGGTGGCTGTGCAAGGGCAGTACACTTACTGTCGAGTGTGGGTGGCTGTGCAAGGGCAGTACACTTACTGTCGAGTGTGGGTGGCACACATCGTGTGCAAGGGCAGTACACTTAACGTGTTTCGTGGTCTGTAGAAAAATTAAAGCTTGAGTGCACTGTTTGATCTTTAACAATGGGAAGAGTGTTTTCTGTCCCTGTGTTAGATTGCTAAGGATAATGGCCTCCAGCTCCATCCATGTTCCTGCAGGGCACGTGATCTCATTCTTTTTAGTGGCTGCATAGTATTCTCACCTCTAAGTGGAGCTGAATGAGGAGAACTGACAGGCACCGAGAGGGACAACATACACAGTGGGGCCGGGTTGAGGGTGGGAGAAGGGAGAGGATCAGGAATTAACTAATGGGTACTAGGCTTAATACCTGGGGGGTGAAATAATCTATACAATAAGCCCCCACGACCCAAGTTTACTTCTAAAACAAACCTGCCCATTTACCCCTGAACTTTAAAGTTAAATAAGAAATGAACAAACGATGGGAAGAATGTAAATTTGCAATACTGAAGCAAAAGCAGCCCCGTGCTCCCCAGGCTGGGCTAGGGATTGATGGATGGAGACCCCGGGAGGAGGCACCCACGCAGAAGGCTATGAGTGACAGGTACCACCTTCCTCCCTGCACGGCACCCCCTGGAGAGGACTTTGCCATCGTCCCTGCAATCCCAGGACGCATTTCTCCTGTTCCTTGTCTGTGAACCGTTGATAGACAATAACATTTTAGGTGAACATAGATACAGCAGATAGTTGAGGCAGAAGGTGAAGTGGAGCTGTGGTTTCCAGAAGCTGACGTGGGAGGTTGCAGCCTCTGTGCTGCAGTGCGTAAGAGCCATGTGCCTGATAGATGGGTCTTGCTAAGGAGCTGATCTTCAGCTCACAACAGCGTCTCCTCCGTGTTCTGTTCCTGAGGTGGCGAGTCATGTGTGGCTGCCACTTCGTTTGCACGGGGCATCTCAGTCACGGTGCTCTAAGCAGGGCAGAAACCACTGTGCGTTCCCAACAGGGGCTTGGGGGCGACTGCCATGTTCCTGTTTTGGACAAATGGAGAAAAGGGCAAAGCTGTGTTCACCTGAGGTCCCTTGACTGTGGCAGTGCTCACACACACAACATCCGTGTGGGATGCCAGGTGGCTGGACTGAGAGTTGGCCCTTGTGACCCCAACAGAATTGTATCAGTAGGACCTGAGCGTGCATTTAATGCTCACACGTGTGATGTCTGCATGAGATGTGGGTTGCTGAATTCTCGTAGCCCTAACAGAATTGTGTCACTAGGAAATGAGCGTGCATTTAATGCTCACACGTGTGATGTCTATGTGAGATGCTGGGTGGCTGGATTTAGAGTTGGCACTTGTGGCCCTAACAGAATTGTGTCACTAGGAAATGAGTGCTTTTGGCAGTTGTTGCCTGTCCTTCTGTGACCTCTGCGTGGTGAGTTGGGCATTGAGCTGCCGTAGGTCACTGAGTCTGCCCTGCCATCACGTCTGCGCTGCCCTGAGACACGGAGCTCCAGCACATTCTGCAGAGCTCACACTATCGAGTCCAGCGCGCATGTGAGAGGCAGGAAGGGAGAGTCCACGGGTCGGCAACTCTGGGCAGTGGCGCGTGGGGGACGGACTCCGCAGCCTGTGGGATCGGCAGCATCCAGTGAGGTGGAGCGGGGCTCAGGGGCACTCAGGATGCAGTGAGCGCACAGCCCTGCGGTGGCATGGGTGGGAGACGCGCACCATGGAGCCGGTGGAAGGTAGACATTCGAGCGAGCTGGGGCCAGTTCCTGGAAGTGTGTCACTGCCAGTGCGGGGAACGTGAGATTTACTCACCCAGCAGCGGGACCTACTGGAGTGCTTTCGGTAAGAGCTGGGATGACACAAATGCATTCACGTTCGATTCCCTCGAGATGCCTTGTGGGTGGGGCAGGGAAACAAGGAGCTAGGTAAGGACACAGCAGCCAGGATCTAGGATGGAGCCGAGAGGGCGTCTCGGAGCGGGGTCCTGGCGTGGAGGGGAGGAGAATGTGACAGACATGGAGGTTCACGGAAGGGGAGACTCCAGAATAATATCAGTTCACACAATAAATAAAATAACTACATGGGAAAACAGCCAATTTGTAATTAGCCTAGCAATTATTTACTTTTAGATTATAGATGTGGCAGTGCTTGGTGTGTGCAAGTGTGTTTTCTGATATTGATATTTGATCTAGTTAGTTGACATTACTGATCTATAGAATGCACTGCTAAGAGTCATTGCAAATGTTTACTTGTCAGGAAGGGTTCCAAGCCCTGGAAATATCCTTACTGATTTGTTAATCACAGCAGCCTATGAGGTAGCTGCTGTTAGTATCCTCACCATGTTGCACATGCTGCCCGGGGCCACAGAGGCGGAGGTTTGCGAGGGAGGCACCGCTCCTGGCTTGAGTAAGTCCACAGGGCAGGCGGTGGAGCCCAGGAGACAGGGCAGAGAAGGCTGCTTCCACCCCAGTCCTCATTTCTGTTATCACCGCCTCCTGGTCCGAGGCATCTTTATTAATGAATGTCTGCTCTTTTTGAATCATAATTCTAAACGAAGCTGCAGAGTACGGAACACCCTTTGCAAGCCTTCAGGCAGAGAACGTACTGCCTCCATTCAGCAGGTGTGCACCCTGGGTAAATTATTTAAGGTCTCTGAGCCTTTGTCTATTTATCAAATAGGAATAATAGCATTTAATCATTGCGTGATTATTACATTAAAGTAATATATGTAAAAATGATATTTGGCCAATAAAAACATTTCTGTAGCTTTTCACCATGATCACTGTTAATATTATATGATGGTCATAGAACTCAGACAGCTGAAAGGCTTTGGGGAAGCAGTGTGTTTGCGTTGTGTTTGGGGAAGCAGCGTGTTTGCATTGTGTTTAAAGCCACTTGATGTCTCCAAGTTGCACAGCGGTCTCTTTTATGCAACCGTCATGCCTCATTCTAAAACCATAGAGAGCAAGCCATTTAAAAGGTTAAAATTTAAGTTGCACTAAAGAGAACATATACTAAAATATGAAGCATTTGTGATTTATTATTTCAAGACATGAAACTTGGTGAAAGTGTACACAGGTGCTCAGTAGTGGGAGATGCGTCCGAAACGCAGACTGGAGTGTGGGCGCTTCTGGGGAGCGGCTGTCCGCAAGCTCATGTCTTCCTTTCTTCTCTTGGTAACAGTTTAATGCTGGAAGCATCCCGTGTGAAGGAGACGGGCAGAAGAGGCTGAGGCCATTCTTCTCTGGGAGCCAGTGGGTACCCGGGGTGCACGCGCTGTTCTCAGGGCAGTTGGAGGGAAATCATCACTGCGAATTCTAGTGACCACAGAACGGGTGGTCGACCTGCATCTTAAACTAGTAGAGATTTCCCAGGCAGATGCCGAGCCTGGGGCTGGAGTGCAAGGTCGTTTTCAGCAGGCAGCACCCTCGGAGTTTGCGGGAAACAGTGGGGTGTGGTTAGGGAGCAGGAGGAGGCTCAGGGCAGCTGTAGCCTGGGAGGAGGGTGAGGCCACCGGGAGGCAAGCATGCTGGTGACGATGACTGGTTGGTGAATCTGGCCCTCTCCAGGCCTGGGCTAAGTGCTCTGCGCACGTTGCACGCCTTGGCCTTATAATCTCCATGCCAGTTAAGGATCTCCAGGTTGGAGGGAGCTCACTGTGTTGCAAAGGTGACTCACTTGCCCCAAATCATATAACCTGGTGCAGAAGAGGCAGATTTCAGACCCAGGTTTGCTAGGGAGCTCAGACTTTAGAGCAGGAGTGTGGGGAGCTGTTGAAGGGTCTGACCCGGGGGACGGGGGATGGTGAAGTGACTCGTTTCCCAGGAAAGGTCGGGCGAGGGTTCTGCGTCTTGCGGCCTCTCTTGGGGTGTTGGGGCAGAGGAGCACCCTGGCACTGGTGGCGACGGCATAACTGTTGAACACGTGCCGGGCGAATGCTGTTCATTTTTATTCCATTTGTTCCTCTCCAGGGCTCCACAGAAAGGTGGTTTTCCTGTATTTTCTAGCCCGATATAATGGGGGCTCTGAGAGTTTCTTTGTCAAACTTCAGGGCTGTGGTGCAATGGACATAAGCCTCGGGCTGAGTGACACCATCATTCTGCTGACGTCATCCTGGAATCAGGTGTTGTCTCCAGGGCACTTTCAGGGCCATCTGCAGGTACAAGGTGACCCCTAAGGCCGGTCAGCTTTGCCTCTGGGATGAGATAGAATGGTTTAAGATGCAAGTAGGATGCTGAAATTGACTAAAAGGAGGAATTTTTGGATGTGGGGTTGTTTGATCAAGCTCCTAGGAACCGTCATACCATCATTCCACAAAACATCCTAACATCCACTAGTCATTTATTGACTCGCTAATTCCATCATGCAAAATGGTAAAAAAGAAAATGTAAAAAGGACCACACAATTCCAAAAGCAGTAGAAACCAAGGCTAGTGGAAGAACAATGTAAACTAGCTGTAAACACACACACTCACACTCACACACACACACACACTCACACTCACACACACACACTCACACACATTCAGGAGATCCAGTCAGCAGTGCAGTAGGAACCAAGGCTGGTGGAAGAACAATGTAATCTAGCTTTAAACACAAACACACATTCAGGAGATCCAATCAGCAGTGACGCCCAACTTGCCCCACAGAGAACACTCCGGAACTGAGAAGCAGGTTCCCTTCTGCCAAGGACTTCTCGCCTCGGAGTTCCATGATCTCGGGGCCTCCTGTCACCTCCCTCCAGGAAGTATTAACCAGGCCAGCTTCCTTGCCCTGTCCCTGTGTTCATGAGTGAGTCAGGTTTGGAGTGTGGCAATGCGGGCTCTGGAGACAGCCCCAGGGTCGAATCCTGCCCGGGCCACCTCCCCACTCGGTGGCCTCGCCAAGGTGCTTCTCGCTTTGCGCCCTTGTCTGCGGGCAGAAGGTTTTGTGAACATTGGTGCCAGGATTGCGATGGGTCGGTGGCACCGAGGGCAGCGCTGCAGTCTGTGGTAGGTGCCCTAGCAGCAGCTATGCTGGAGTTACTAGAGGGCCGAGCATCTGCGAACCTTGGGGGCAGATCCAGCGTACTCACCATTAAGGCAGTTCATAAAATTATTTCCTCCTTATTCTAACCAGCATCGACATAGAATCTGCCAGCAGCAAAACTGTGACCAGGCAGAGAAACGGGTGGGGGACAGTTCCCAGGCCTCCTCTCCAGCCCGCTGTGCAGCGAGTTCAGTTGCTTCACGCCCTAAGCCAGCGAGTACCCATCAACAAGGCTGTCAGTGACTGCAGTGACTTCCAGGCGCCTTATCCTCTCTAAGCGTCCTGATAACCCTGAGAGATGTTATTACGGCCATTCCCTTTTTGTCATGGAGGTGGGGGGTGCGGTGTCTTCTGAGCTGATACTCCACTCCGTTGTGAGTATCTGTGGGATATGACCATTCCCTTTTTGTCATGGAGGTTGGGACTGGGGGGCCTTTCTGAGCTGATATTCTGTTGTGAATATCTGTGGGATAATTTCACGTCGTCGCCTCCCCTGGCTCTAAGGAGCTTGGACGTGTCTGGAGGTTCATGGAAGCCACCTGCAGGAGTGCCTGGCTTGGCTTTGCCTTTTTGTCTTCTTCCTGCTCTTCTCACTCACCTTCACATGCCCCCACGTCTGCCCTACCGCATCCACCCCATATCCCTTAAACAGGTATTTGGGAAATTGTGTGGGGCAGAAGGAAAATCCAGGAGCCTTGTTTTCCACATGTTTCCATCACACCCGTTAATTGAACAATCTAAGCCCGGCCTCAGTGCAGGTGGCGGTCGTGGGCCTTTCCCAGGCCCCAGAATCCCATGGAAGGGCTGTTCTGAGCAGCTGCTTGGAGATGCATCAATACGTTCAAAGATGATTGTCAGTTGCCAAAATAGCACTGGCTACATATTGACTGCAATTTAACAATGGGGGCAATAGTCACAACACCTGGGACCTCTGTGACATTTCCCTCACGGAATTTCACACGGGACCTCCGTGACGTTTGCCTCATGGAATCTCACACACACGGGACCTCTGTGACGTTTGTCTCATGGAATCTCACATGCCCGGGACCTCTGTGACATTTCCCTCACACGCCCAGGACCTCTGTGACGTTTCCCTCACGGAATCTCACACGCCCGGGACCTCCGTGACGTTTCCCTCACGGAATGTCACACGCCCGGGACCTCCGTGACGTTTGCCTCACGGAATCTCACACACCCGGGACCTCCGTGACATTTGCCTCACGGAATCTCACACACCCGGGACCTCCGTGACGTTTGCTTCACGGAATCTCACACACCCGGGACCTCCGTGACGTTTGCCTCACGGAATCTCGCACGCCCGGGACCTCCGTGACGTTTCCCTCACGGAATCTCACACACCCAGGACCTCCGTGACGTTTGTCTCATGGAATCTCACGTGCCCGGGACCTCTGTGACATTTCCCTCACACGCCCAGGACCTCTGTGACGTTTCCCTCACGGAATCTCACACGCCCGAGACTTCCGTGACGTTTCCCTCACGGAATCTCACACGCCCGGGACCTCTGTGACGTTTGCCTCATGGAATCTCACACGCCCGGGACTTCCGTGATGTTTCCCTCACGGAATCTCACACACCCGGGACCCCCGTGACGTTTGCCTCACGGAATCTCACACGCCCGGGACCTCCGTGACATTTGCCTCACGGAATCTTGCACGCCCGGGACTTCCGTGACGTTTCCCTCACGGAATCTCAAACGCCTGGGACCTCTGTGACGTTTGCCTCACGGAATCTCACACGCCCGGGACTTCCGTGATGTTTCCCTCACGGAATCTCACACACCCGGGACCTCCGTGACGTTTGCCTCATGGAATCTCACACACCCGGGACCTCCGTGACATTTGCCTCACGGAATCTCGCACGCCCGGGACTTCCGTGACGTTTCCCTCACGGAATCTCACACGCCCGGGACCTCTGTGACGTTTCCCTCACGGAATCTCACACGCCCGGGACTTCCGTGACGTTTCCCTCACGGAATCTCACACGCCCGGGACCTCTGTGACGTTTGCCTCACAGAATCTCACACGCCCGGGACTTCCGTGACGTTTCCCTCACGGAATCTCACACACCCGGGACCTCCGTGACGTTTGCCTCACGGAATCTCACACACCCGGGACCTCCATGACATTTGCCTCACAGAATCGCGCACGCCCGGGACCTCCGTGACGTTTCCCTCACGGAATCTCGCACGCCCGGGACTTCCGTGACGTTTCCCTCACGGAATCTCACACGCCCGGGACCTCTGTGACGTTTCCCTCACGGAATCTCAGACGCCCGGGATCTCCGTGATGTTTCCCTCACGGAATCTCACACACCCGGGACGTCCGTGACATTTGCCTCACGGAATCTCACAGCTCCTCCCAATAGAACAGCGACTCATCCGCCCAGCACTCCGGGGGCAGGAAGAGATGTTGCTTCTCTTTTTGGCAAGCAGATGAACAGTAATCATGAGTACAGAGTCTGAGATGTCAGCGTCTGGAAAGACATTTCCTGTTACACGCTGAACAAAAGCTTTGGGGTGACCACCTGCTGCGTCCTCAGGATGTGCCTTTTTTTAGGAAACAATGACTTGTCACTCCAAAAAGTTAAAAAAGCACCTCCAAATATATATGATGCCACATCTTCTCCTCACACAGGTTGCCTTGTGGTGCGGCTTCCAGGCCGGTTCCGCGGTTGGGGTTGACCGTACACAGGGTTCGGGCCCCAGGCCGGTTCCGCGGTTGGGGTTGACCTTACACAGGGTTCGGGCCCCATGGCGGTTCCGCTGTTGGGGTTGAGCATACACAGGGTTCGGGCCCCAGGCCGGTTCCGCGGTTGGGGTTGACCTTACACAGGGTTCGGGCCCCATGGCGGTTCCGCTGTTGGGGTTGAGCATACACAGGGTTCGGGCCCCAGGCCGATTCCGCGGTTGGGGTTGACCTTACACAGGATTTGGGCCCCAGGCCGGTTCCGCGGTTGGGGTTGAGCATACACAGGGTTCGGGCCCCAGCGGGAGTCACTGTCGCTCAGTGTCAAGGCCAACTGCAAGGGCGGGAGACCCAGGAGCCCATCGTAGGAGTCACACATCCAGCAGGAAGATAGGTCAACCTGGTCCCTAAATAACATTAAGACACTGAACCATCTGGAGTGCAGTTACCATGTCAGAAGCATTTGGAAGAGGAGTGGTCACCACCAAGAGACGTTTAAACCAGACCTTCTTTTATCCACTCAAGCAACTAGTGTAGAGTAACTCAAGTTTACACTTTAAGGATTATGAATTCACAGCATTTGGTTAGGGAAAGACCAGCTTAAACTCTACCTTTTATTGTGTAGAAACAGTATTTTTTGTCATTCAAGCACGTTTAGCAGTTGACGTGTGACATCCCCATGCCTGGAAACGGGATGGATCAATGACAGGGCCGAGTTTTCCCCTCAGGAAGTTTACAGTTTGTAATATGAAGCGAGCTCGAGTTATCCAATAGGCATTTGTGTTCAGGACACGGCAGATACAGCCGCCTGCCTGGGCCACTTCCATAAGCGGGAGGGCTGCAGGAGGGGTCCCCCTGAGGGCAAGAAGGGGCTGCTCCAGCAGGCAGGAGGCGGAGATTAAGGAAAATCACAGAGGTGATGGGGGAGGGTAACTCACGGCTTTGGGTGCCAGGAAAGGAGGTGAAAATCCTAGGAAAAGCCAAGTAGGGTGAATGAGATTGCAGCAAATTCTTAACACCATTAAAAGGAGAACCCCCGTTTTCTGGAGTTTAAAGGCCCTCCTTTATTCACTGAGAGTTGGCAGGCTAATTACGGGCTCTGGTTTTCTGCTCCTTGAGGGAAGTGCCCTCTGGACTCTTACTGCTAATAATAAACAACTGCACTTTGTAGGGCCTGAGTTGAGTTATGGATTGCACTTTAGATAAATAGATTCCATGTTGCCCTAATGCTCAGACCCAGACCTCTTCCAGATTCTGGTGGTCTCACAGAGAGTCCTCCAAGTCCACGGCACTCCCCACTTGCTGTGGTTTATGGCACCAACGTGCCCTCCATCTCCTCTGTTGCCTTTCACGTGGCTCGGTGAAATAGAAATGTGATGCTGAGGCCTGTGTTAGTTGGCAGTTATGTGCTTGGAGTGGCGAGAGTCAGGGTCGGGGCATCTGCTGTTGGGGCATCTGCTGTTGGGGCATCTGCTGTTGGAGTCGCTCCCCTGTGACACTGACACTTGGTGCCGGGCAATCTTTCCCGGCAGCATCTCATGCAGGAGGCACCCGTCCCGTTCGACGCCTCTGGCCGCCCCGTCCTTGCTTCTCATCTCACAGGGCACTGCGAGCCGCCTGTCGCAATCAGCATTGAGAGCCAAAACAGCTGTTTGGTGACTGTGCGAGGTTGTGAGTGTGTGGTTGGCTGGGAGGCTTATCCTCATCCTCCCAACCCCGTGTCTTACGTAGAGAAGAAGAAAGCCAGGGCCAGAGGTCACCTGCCTCAATGAAGGTCCTTACACCAGGGGCAGACCCATGACTAGAGCCCAGGTTCCAGGTGCACGCAGCAGCAAGGCGTGGGGTCTGTAGGGGGCAGACCCAAGACCAGAGCCCAGGCTCCAGGCGCACGCAGCAGCAAGCGTGGGGTCTGTGGCCGTTCAGTGCACGGGGCGTGTTTATGCACCATGCTTCTCCTATGGAAGCCGTCCCATGGTGCGACATCCCCAGCAGCGCAGCGAGGGGGGTGGGTGAGGCTTGGACCAATTCCTCATGGTCAGGGGAGCTAAGGGACCTGAGTCCAGCAGGTCCAGGATGACCCTGCCACATCCCACGGGGAGAGGCTGGGTTCTGAAGCTTTGAAGTGTTTGATTTATTTACGTGGGATGTCTTGCAATACATTTTGTGAATAAATTTCTTGTAACTAAGTGTTTCAATATAAGTAGATACATTTTTTTTTTTTTTTTGAGACGGAATCTCACTCTGTCACCCAGGCTGGAGTACAGTGGCGCGATCTCGGCTCACTGCAGCTCCACCTCCCGGGTTCAGGCCATTCTCCTGCCTCAGCCTCCCGAGTAGCTGGGACTACAGGCACCCGCCACCACGCCCGGCTAATTTTTTGTATTTTTGGTAGAGACGGGATTTCACCGTGTTAGCCAGGATGGTCTTGATCTCCTGACCTTGTGATCTGCCCGCCTCAGCCTCCCAAAGTGCGGGGATTATAGGCGTGAGCCACCGCGCCCAGCCGATACGTTTTATCTATAAGAAAATTCTACAATCCTGTCTAAAGTACTAAGTAAAACAAGAAGTAGAAAGTGTTATCTCTTGAAATTAATTCTGAAAATCCGCCCTCTGCACTTCTTACATAGAACAAGACAGGCAGCCACAACGCGCCGTATCTGGGTCCGTTCTCTGTTGCAATGAGCAGACAAAGCTTCAAAACATTAGAAATCAAGAAGGAACTTGAGCTCATTGCAACTAACTCTTTAATTTCCACCTCTGATCACACTTTACCCTCCTATTTTTATGTATTTTCCTTCTTCCAGGGGTCCTTTACCTTGAAATTCAATTGTATAGAAATAAACCGTATTATATAAGATATGCCTTTAAGCTGATATTACGTGTTCACATTACAGTCAATAGGAAGCGCCTTTATTCTTGGTGCAGTTGGCCCCTCTGAGCATGAAGCTCACTGATCCCTCAACTACGGCCATTGTTTTCTCATGTGCATGTGTAGCAATGACTTCAAAACTTAACATCTCAAAATCACAGCATGGGGCTGTGAGTTCCGGTTACCTTGTATGACTGGACATTCGTAGCCGCTGCCAGCCTCCCAGGGCTCTCTGAGATGGATTTGAGGTGTGCGTGGCCCCTGCACTTTCTAGATGGCTTTCTCCTCTCGTACGTGATGAAACTGGCTGCCGTGATGGGCTGGGCTTGGAGCTGTGGGTGGGGCTGTCCAGATGCTTCTGTTGCTATGATCAACCACAGCCAGGGCCATGAAGCAGGTGCCAGCTGAGCTGGGCAATGGGTTTAGCCCTTGTTTTCAAGTACTTATTTACGCTTATTAATTTTAAGTGACAAAAGTATATATTTATGGTGTAGAATATGATGCTTTGCATTGTGAATACCTTGCGGAATAGCTCGATCAAGCTGATTAACAGATGGATCACCTCACTTTTTTGCGGTGAGAACAATGAAATCCACTGTCAGTGATTTTCTAGAATATGATGTGTTGCTATGAACTGCAGTCACCGTGATGAGCAATAGAGCTCTTAAACCTGCTCCTCCGTCTGTCTGAAATCTCATGCCCTTTGTCCAGCCTCTCTCAAGTCTGTCCCCAGCCCCGCCCTCCCTCTCCACTCCCACGAGTCTGAGTGTCTTGGATGCATCATGTCAGTGAGTGAGCTCTGGGGTGCTTGGCTTTATGTATCTGGTTTCTTTTTTTTTTTTTTAATTATTATTATACTTTAAGTTTTAGGGTACGTGTGCACAATGTGCAGGTTAGTTACATATGGAAACATGTGCCATGTTGGTGTGCTGCACCCATTAACTCCTCATTTAACATTAGGTATATCTCCTAAAGCTATCCCTCCCCACTCCCCCCACCCCACAACAGGCCCTGGTGTGTGATGCTCCCCTTCCTGTGTCCAAGTGATTTCATTGTTCACTTCCCACCTATGAGTGAGAACATGCGGTGTTTGGTTTTTTGTCCTTGTGATAGTTTGCTGAGAATGATGGTTTCCAGCTTCATCCATGTCCTTACAAAGGACATGAACTTATCAATTTTTATGGCTGCATAGTATTCCATGGTGTATATGTGCCACATTTTCTTAATCCAGTCTATCATTGTTGGACATTTGGGTTGCTTCCAAGTCTTTGCTATGGTGAATAGTGCCGCTATAAACATACGTGTGCATGTGTCTTTATAGCAGCATGATTTATAATCCTTTGGGTATATAACCGGTAATGGGATTGCTGGGTCAAATGGTATTTCTAGTTCTAGATCCTTGAGGAATCGCCACACCGTCTTCCACAATGGTTGAACCAGTTTACTGTCCCACCAACAGTGTAAAAGTGTTCCCATTTCTCCACATCCTCTCCAGCACCTGTTGTTTCCTGGCTTTTTAATGATCGCCATTCTAACTGGTCTGAGATGGTATCTCATTGTGGTTTTGATTTGCATTTGTCTGATGGCCAGTGATGATGAGCATTTTTTCATGTGTCTTTTGGCTACATAAATGTCTTCTTTTGAGAAGTGTCTGGTTTCTGTCACTTAGCACCATGCGTTCAGGGCTCATTCACGCTGAAATCCACAGATGGCAGGGTTTGCTTCTTGTTTAAAGCTGGATATACGCTGCTGTGTCCACACACCACCCCATTATCTGTGTGTCCGCTGGTGGATACTTAGGTTGCTTCCCTGGCACGGCTGTTTCTGTGAACGATCCCATTGAAGCCACCTGAGTCTCGCGTGGCTGGCCCTCTCTGCACCTGAGACTCCCGGACAGCATCCGGGTTGGGGGTCCTGTGGAGCAGATCCCAGTCTCGGCCTCTAGAGCCTCCGCACCATGCCCCCTGCAGCCAGCACCTGAGACCCCCAGACAGCATCCGGGTGGGGCAGATCCCAGCGTCGGCCTCTAGAGCCTCCGCACCGCGCCGCCCCCGCCTCCTGTCCCCAGCCAGGAGGAGCCGCTGGAGGGACGTTTTCGTTCTCAGTAATTTAAGGTCTTTGCTGAGAGCTTGACGGGAAGGAAGTCGTAGTATCTGAAGCCTCAGGTGAAATTTCTCCTTGGCATTACCGGGACCAAATCCACGTACTGTGACATTCAAGTCAACGTGACAGGTGTGAACTGGGATGCCGCAGTATACCAAGTCCAGTTTTGACGCTGTGGAAAATTAGATAAAGTGAGTAAGACACAGTCCCTACCCTTGAGGGGCGGGGGAATTTTAAAGAAGAAACTGCCGCCTGTGGGAGGCCACGCCTTGTTCTCAGCCCGACTCAGGAGGAGCTCAGCTGCTGGCAAGTTGGAAACACAGGCTCTGCGATTTTGAGAGTGAACCTGCAAGAGACAAGCAGACGTTGGCAGTGCCGCGTCCCGGCTGGTGGAGGGAGCCCGGATGCCTGGCAGACAGTCAGTGGTCGGTTGGCGGCCGGCCCACATAAGGGCACCATGCTCACCGTGTCTAGGCAGAGCTGGAGGCTCCTCCTGCCCAGGGCGGCCTCCAGGTGGGGAGGACGGCAGAGCTTCCCTCAGTCCCACTTTCCAGGTCATCCCCAGGGGTCCCTCTGGGTCACTCCTTGTGATGTGAAGAAATTCTCCATCACATGCAGAGTTCAGGACCAGTCAGGAAGCCCTCAAGCACCCACGCCTGCCTGTTCAGCAGGGAAGATTCTGGAAGCCGAGTCCTTGCTATAGGAACGTGTTGGGGCTGCTGCTTTGGGAAACTCACCTGACCACAGGGTCGTCCCGGAGCTGCTTCAGGTGTCCTGGGCGGCTGTGGAGAGTCCCTGGGCCCGATGAGCTTCATTAGACCTGAAGTTTGGAACCCTCTGTTCCCTACAGAAGTCTCTTATCGTCCTCTCTGGCTTGAGGCCACCACTGTGACGTGTGTGGCCAGGGTTCTTCGCTCAGTCTCAGACTCTAGGGCTGTGTCTGTGCTTGGTGCTCACGCTTTGCTGCTGAGACCACCTGGGCGTTCAGTTGTCAACTACCAACGGACAGTCAGGGCTGTCCCAGCATAGGGCTGCACCCCCTCCGCTCTCCCGGCCTTCATTCCTCGTGCCCTGCTCTCCTGAGAAGCTTGGGCACACTTTGTTCGTTTCAGAGGCGTCCGCCCCAGCATGAGTGCTCAAGCTCTTTCCAGGCCCCCGGCATCCTCATGGCTGCAGCAGGTGGAGATTAGACTGCCCCTGGTCGCAAAGGCGTCAGAACAGTGAACATCTGAAGAGACGAGGGTGTCAGGAAGGTGCCCCATGGTCATCCCAGCTGGGACTGGGGCTGCTGGTGTCCAGGACAGGCCTCCCAGTTCTGCCTCCCGCTGGCCAAGCACCCAGTTAGAACTGGCTTCCCTGCACCCTCAGGAGCAGAGCCTGAAGTCAGGGCTGTCTACCAGGCATGGAGGCCTGGCCAGATGCACGCAGCCACCGACAGGTCAGAGACGGAGGATATATGTGTTATTAATGAAAAACATGGTGAAGTGTTTTTAAATGGGAAACAGGCTGCACAGTGAACCAGGACAGAAAACTGTTTTCAGAAAGCACTACTGAGAAAACAATTGTTTCCCCACTTGGAAAAATGCTTGCTGCCTATCCAATTACTTGGTACCTTCCTAAAAATAGTCTTTTAAAAACATATAATTCTTAATTCACTCATAAAACATCTAATTCTTATGTAAAAATTTCTGTAATTATTAAAAAATTATCTTCCAAAGGATTCTCTTCTTTTTTGTTTATGGACGTCTTATCAGGCATTAGGGGCGTGTGTTGTATGTCAGAACGTTTGTTTAATTTTAGTTACACAGATAATCGCATCACCATCGTTGCTCACCCAGGAGCTGACCGTGTGGCGCGTTCCCCGGAGTGCGTGACCTGCTCCGAGGCCTTGCAGCGGTAGATACGTTCTGCGAAAACGCTTCCAAATGAGGGTCATTTTTCTTAACCGAAGTTTTTAGCATTTCTAATTCTCCCACAAAGTGCAAGAATATTTTGTTTCAACTTAATTAATAGTTACCTCCATGTTTGGATTGTCACACTGGGCAGCTGTGGGGATGCTCACGTTCGTGAGCAGAGTTAAGCTTCTCTCAAATAGCCATGACGTAGAGAAAAATGAAACTGAGGCCACAACCTGGAAAGCTGTGTCATAACTTAGGCATCACCGATATCCAGGGCCCCGTCACATTTTTTCCTGATCCACTTAACTGCTTGTTGTAGTAGTGCTCACCTGTTAAAGACCCTACTTTCATGTTATGTGTTTTGTTTGGTAAAATATCCTTCAATTCTTTTAGAAGTAGGCCACGTTTCACTGTGTGTGTGTAAATGCATCTGCATAGAGTAAAGCATTTGTGTCCACACACTGCAGTGACAACTATTTCCCAAGCACCATGAAATTCTCCTGTTTGGAGTGTACCTGTCTTTCCCCCATCCCCAGGTGTCAGCACAGGGGCTAACACAGGGGAGAAGCCAGATAGGTGTGTGATGTTAATGCTGAGTGAGTGAACGAGACAGTGATCCTGTGCCCCCGAAGGAAATATTCGTGCTTTCCTCACGTTTCAAGCCTGAGCTGGAACAAGTCGTCTGTGATTTTCATAGCATGGAGTTTCTCAGCTGATAAGCAAAAGAATAATGACAAAAAAGTGGCTGTCATCACCAACAGCACTTGTGCAGAGGCATCTGCAGGTCGAGGGGGGTATCTCTGAGATGAAAAGAGTAATTTGAAAACCACATATGTCAGGAAAGGTAGTGCCATCTGCCATGATTTCCCAAGCAGCCGCACGTTGTCAGTGGGGCTCCAGTAGCTGCAGTAGGAGCCTGTGCCTCCTGGCTTGGACGGCTGCATGTCAGCTGCAGCAGTGATGAGCCAGGGGCGGTAACTGCTCATCACACATACACCAGGGTTCTCCCGAAAAGTGAGACTGACAGGATATATACAGACAGGCAAGAGGGGATTTATTATGGGAATTGGTCGCTGTGATTATGGGGGCTGAGAGGTCCCACTATTGTCCATCCACAAGCTGGAGACCCAGGGAAGCCAGAGGTGTGATTAAGTCTGCGTTTGAAGGCCTGAAAATCGGGGTGGGCAATGTCTGTGGTCAGGAGGAGATGGAGGCCTCGCCCAAGAAGAAGGAACAAATTCTCCTTTCTCCACCTTTTTGTTCTTCCTGGGCCCTCAGTGGATTGGAGGATGCACACCCGCATTGCAGAGTCCAGTGCAGGTCTCTTCTGGAAACGCCGTCACAGACACACACGGAAGTCATGTTCCCACATTGCAGAGTCCACTTCAGGTCTCTTCTGGAAATGCCATCACAGACACACCCGGAAGTCATGTTTCACCAGTTACCTGGCTATCACTTATCCCTGTCCATGCTGACACAGAATTCACCACGACACCCTCCCTCCTCTTCTGCTCAGTACCTGAGCCCTTGTCTCAATACCTGAGCCTTTTCTTTCCGGGGAACCCAAACCAAGACAAAGGCCCTGGATAGAAAATGCTGTAGAAAAAGGGCTACTTCATAGCCCAGGGTCAAGCACTGTTTATGTTCCATAAAGCTAAGCCACATGGATGCGGAGCAGCTGGGCCACCAGCTGTCTACATAAACCTGAGCTACACCAACATGTAGCATCCAGGCCACCAGCTGTCCACCTAAACCTGAGCGAAGCCAATGTGGAGCATCTGGGCCACCAGCTGTCCATATAAACCTGAGCCACGCCAATGTGGAGCATCTGGGCCACCAGCTGTCCATATAAACCTGAGCCACGTCAATGTGGAGCATCTGGGCCACCAGCTGTCCATATAAACCTGAGCCACGCCAATGTTGAGGGTCTGGGCCACCAGATGTCCACATGAACCGCACTACCTTTTTCATCTCCTGGGCCTCCTGCAGCGTTCCCTCCCATGGGGGATGAGTGGAATCAGGTTTCTCGTCTCCTGGGCCCCCTGCAGTGTTTCCTCTCATGGGGAATGAGTGGAATCAGGGTGCATCCTCCCAGAACTGGCCCACATGTGCATCTGTCCTCACCCTTGCACACCCATGTCTGTCCTATGAGTGACCTTTGAGGAGTAGCCTGGGTCATTCAGGGACCCACTGGAAATGAGCCATGGCCGTGGATGAGGAACAGAGGCCAATTCTGTGGACTGTTACCTGTGTGGTTCTGTGTGTGTGTGTGTACGTGTGTGCGTGTGTGCGTGTGGGTGTGTGGACGTAGACTCCCACACAGGCCCTCCGGTGTGGTGCTGGGCTATGCTGCGGCGAAAAGGAGCAATTTCCTTGAGGATTCCAGCTCCTCACCCCCATTAACAAGCTGCACATCCCTCTAAGGAGGAAAGGGACTTTTGTAAGCTTCAAGTTTGTGACCAGAAAGCAGCCCAGAAAAACCTCCCTATTGTTTTGAAATGACAACAACAGCTTCGTCGTGGGGCGTCACGCATGTTGCACCACTGCTTTCCACAGAGAGCTGCCTGGACCTTGTGTCCTGGGTGTGCAGAGGGAGCGCAGGTGGCAGCTGCCTCCCACCCACCTCTATAAGTGCAGGTGGAGCCAGGGCCTGTGGTCCAGAAGGATGAGCATCCCCCAGAGCTCGGGGGAAGGGGCTGCGAGGAGGGCACTCATGACTCAGGAGGGCCAGGTCCCAGGTGGCAGGTATGGTTTGCAGATGAGAGTGTGTGCTCTGCAGACTGGCAGACCCCAAAAGGCAAGGGGAGAAAGGCCGAGCCGCTCAGGCCCAGCTCCACCCCATGTCCATGGGTCAGGCAGGCCCCTCATGTCCTGAAGAGACACGTGTGCCTGGGTGTGCGGGAAGGTGTCCTTTGGCAAGACCACACCTGAACGATGCTTCCCCTTTCCCTCGGGAGTGAGCCCTACAGCAGGGGGATGGGCACCTCCCTCCTGGGCTAGGCATTGGTCTTGGCTGGGGGTTAGGAGCTGCACCCCCACGCCTGCCTATGCAGGTGCACAGGGAAGGGTGGCAGCGGGCGTGTGTGCCCGGGACCTGGATACAGGCAGACTGTGCTTGGCAAGGGCTATACCAGTTGTGGATGAATCCTCAGAGCTGAGTTTCAGCTGCTCCTTAAAATGCAGCAGAGGTCGCGTGGTTGAATAAAGGTGAAGTTCCAGACTTCCAGACTGCTCAGTTTAGAAAGGATCTAAGTCATCTGAAATAATTAAAGAGTACTTAAACACACATACACACAACAACAACCGCAGCAACAGTCGTCTGAATTACTGAAGAGAATTCTGGGGTATTGATGAATAGTGTAGAAATGAGATTTTAATATCTTCACTCAGTGTGGATAATTGAAAGCATGGCTGAATAGATATCGTTGAAGACTCTGCTTCACTCAACAGATATCTTGCAATATTTGAGCAGGTTGAGCTTCTCCCTGGTGATCTCTTTTGGCTATTAATCTATGTAGCAGTTTCTTTTTTGCATACTTAGTAGAAAAATAGATTCCAGGATTACAGAAGAGAAGTGAGCGCTTATTACAAATTAGTGGACATGTTAAAATGTTGGATAAAAGTAGGGTAGGAGGACACAGTAAAGGCACAGGCAGTCCAGTGAAGGCTGCCTGTGTGTCTGGATCACAGCACAGCTACCTCTTCTAGGTCAGGAGACTCAGCAGTTGGCTTCAGAAAAGTAATGACCTCGGGAAACACCATCTTCATGAGCCAAACTCATGCCAGCCAGATGGGCGCTAGAAAGTGAATGCTGTCCTTTTAGTGAAAAATCCCACTTTCTGATGGAGAGTCTTATGGGTATTTGCACTCGGTGGCTCTCACTCGGGCTGAATGTTTGTATCTAGGACACTTTAGCATGAGAGCTCTTGCATGATGGAAGGTGTGTATGGAAACACTTAAACGATGATTATTTTCAGATCAGTGAAGAGGGAAAAAAAATAACTCTTAGAAACACTGGAATCATCGGCTGTGTCACTGGGTGGAGAGTGTGATCTCTACACCGCCCCCTCCCCTGGTGATGACAGCCACGAGGTGGAAGGATTCCCCCCCACAACCCCCCGCAGAGGCCGGGTCTCAGCAGGGGTCAGTCTGTGCATCCCCGGGGGTCCCATCCTGTGGAAAAGTGTGGGGAGGCTGGGGGTGACCCCGAGAACAGGAGGATGAGGACGACTCCGTACAGGGAAGCTGGGATGGATGTAGGCTGAAGGGTCGGGGGCGTGGGGGCCGGGAGCGGATCCCTGCACAGGCCCACAGGAGAGGCTGGGTTTCCCTGGCCCCCGTGCTCTCCTCCCCACCGTGCAGCACCGGGTGTCACCTTCCTCCTGGGACAGCTTCGTGTCTTTTCCTCACTGCCTCTTTCCCCATCGAGGCTTCATGCGCCGTCTCCAGCCTCTTGCTCCGGGGTCCTGCGTGTTCTTTTCTCACTGAGCTCAGTCCCGTGGCCCCGGCTCCTAATTCATCTTCAGAGCTTGTTAAAACTGTGCTTTCCGATGTATTTCCTCAAGGACAGTCACTAGCAGTTGTTCTGAAATGATTCATGGTGTTTCCGTTCACACTGCGATGCTTGTTCCTCATAAACCATCCATCTGGCCTCGTGCTCCTCGGGGGCTGAAGGGCCTGGATGCTGATTGTTCTCTGGTCTGACCCGCCAGCTCCTCGGACCTCCGGAAAGAGCCTCCCGCCTGCACGTCCCACTGCCACGTCCATTAGCGTCACCAAAGCGTCACTTGCGCTGGACGGCAAACTGCAGATGTTGGTTTGACAAAGCCTCAGGGGAGCGCACAGCCCTTGACCTTCAAAGGTTGGATCTTATTTAGAGACACGTTGAAATCAGCCTGGATTCGGACTTACAGAGCTGTAATAACACGGGTTCCTGACTTGCTGGACGGAAGCTTCCAGAAGACTCTGAGAGAATGGAGAGTGGCAGCTTTCGCTTTGTTTTCCGTTCCCACATATCGGTTTGGCATCGAACGATGCGTCCGCTGCTGGCTCCCGTGCTCGGTTTCTCCACGCCGCCTCCGGGCGGTGCGCGATTCAGCTCCAGGAGCGTGTTGTGCACGGCGGGGCGCTGCGCTCGGCCTTAGGGAAAGAAGGCGCGGCTGTCTCCCCGGACCCCACCGTTAGGGACCCACACCTAGAGGTGAGTGTGGCGTGAGCGGCCAGGCGGGTGCCGAGATGCCCAGAGACCAGCACTGGGGAGGCTGCTCCCCGTCCCCGAGGCCTGGAGCCGTGGGAGGAAGAGGAGGATGCCACGGAGCCCTGTGGAGGCTGAAGCCGCTGCGTAGGGAGCCCCTTGTCCATCAGGGTTCTCGAGAGACGCAGAACCAGGGGTGCATGCACGCGTGTGATTGTGGAGGCTGGCAGGTCCCAACCACAGAGCCGAAGTCCCCAGCATCCCCGCGCAGGTGTGAGGCCCTCAGCGACCCTGGAACCAGCAGGAGCTCTGCTCCCGCTCAGGGGCCGTGGGGCAGGGGGCTCCCCCTTCCTCGGGAAGGGACGGCCTTCTGTTCCCTGCAGGGCTTCAAGGATTGGATGAAGACGCCGAGAGGACCTGGAAGGGGAGGAAGATTCTCCAGAGCCTCCAGAAGGAAGCCAGGTCCTGGGGACAGTGTGCTTCAGCCCAGGGAGTCCGTTTTGGACATCGCATCTCCGGACGGATATAGATCGCTTTAGACACCCAGTGTGTGGTCACCGGCACGGCAGGGGTAGACACAGGTGCAGCTCACACAGGGATTTACACACTCAGAGCTCCTGGTTCAGTGCCTGTTTGTCAGATGCCTGTGACGTGGTCCAGGCCGTGGGATCCAGTGAATGGAGCTTGACCCAGAGCACATTTCCCTGTGAGGGGCTTGTGTGCTGTGCCCTCCCTCATCACCAGGCAGCATCCGCAGACACACAGCGGTGCCTCTGTGTACGTGTGTGCGGTGTAGGTGCTTGTGTGTACACATGTGTGTATGTGTACGGTATCTATCTGTGGTGTGTGTGTAAGCATGTGGTGTGTATGTACATGTGTGCACATGTGTGGTATCTAGCTCTGTGTGTGATGTGTGTATGTGTACACATGTGGTGTGTACAGTATCTGTGTATCTGTGTATATGTGGTGTGTGTGTATACACATGTGTCTATGTACATGTGTGCACATGTGCAGTATCTATCTGTGTGATGTGTGTGTATGTGTACGCCTGTGGTGTGTGCAAGTGTGCACATGTGTACAGCATCTGTGTATCTGTGTGTCTGTTGTGTGTGTATACACATGTGGTGTGTACAGTATCTGTGTATCTGTGTGCGTGTGGTGTGATGTATCTGTTGGTGTATGTGTATGCATGTATTCTGTATGTATAGATGCAGTGTGTGTGTGTGTGTGTGTGTGTGTGTGTGTCTGTGGTGCATGTATGTAGTATATGTGTGTGTGTGTGTGTATGTACTGGGGGTGAGGCCTGGGCCAGGGGCAGGCACGGCTCCTCTTGGCACCTGTTGTGCTGTGCAGTGGACGTCCATGCTGTTGTGGGGCGTGTGTGAGCCCTCAGGACTGTGAGGATGTGTGGTTTCAGTTTGGGTTTCTTATAATGGGGAATCATTACCCTTTCTGTAGGAAGAAGGAGATGTCAGACATACAAAAACATGTTTTAAGGAATGTATTCCAAGTCCATTTTCTAATGCAGAGGAATTCCCCAGGAGATGGGAGGTGTGGAGACACCACAGAGGCCGTAACACGGGACAGTCACAGGCAGAGGCTCTGGGGATGGGGGGCCAGGCAATGCCTCCTTCACCTGTCCCAGTCAAGGCAGCAAGTGGGGCCCCAGGATCCCTACTGCCCAACGCTTCCTCCTCAGTCTCCTGTGCACCTGTGTGAGATCCAGAGGCCTCAGGCATTCACCTTGAATCCACCCAAATGACAATCACCCAAGCCACTGAACACGCCTGATCAGATGCAGCTCGAGGAAAAAGCAGCCATGTCTTGTCTGAGCTGTTAATCAGCCGCTGCCCACCGACCAGCCACGCCTCTTCAAGGCGCACGCATTTTTCACAGATGGGGTGAGCACATGCGCTCCCGAGAAGCTGAGCGACATCACGGTTTCCGTGTACTCCGGTGATTGCAGAGTTCTCCTCGCCACCACCCCATCCATCTGCCGGGCACCCACATCCACGCCGGTTCCGTAAGCTGCTCTCCGGCTCTCCCAAATGGGCTGCTTGGGTGTTTCTCTTAGGGTTTTTGTTTGTTTGTTAGTTCGTTTGTTTGTTCGTTTGTTTGTTTTGAGGTCTGTTATTCCTATTAACACGATGTGTGTGTCCTGCACGAGGGGATTATAGACGTGTGTGTCCTGCAGCACCCACCCCTCAGTGTTAGAATCCATGAGACTAGTGTGTCCTTCGGTGATGAGGCCGCCCACCCCTCGGTGTTAGAATCCATGAGACTGGCGTGTCCTTCGGTGACGAGGCCACCCACCCCTCGGTGTTAGAATCCATGAGACTGGCGTGTCCTTCGGTGACGAGGCCGCCCACCCTTCGGTGTTAGAACCCATGAGACTGATGACCCTGAGAGTTGAAGCTTCACAGAAAGGAGGCCTCCCCAAAGTGCCTTTTCTGCGTGTGCATTTTGCGTGTCCTGAGTAGGGATACCCTTCTCAGCGATCTCTGTGGAACAGATGCTAAAGGTTCTCTTTTATCTAGCAGATTCTCTACTCTTCCCTTTAAGTTTCAGCTTCTCGTTTGAATGTACTTCCTACAGATAAGAAGAGATGTCTTTATATCAAGGAATGGATGACGGTGCGAAGAACTGAGTTTATAGAAATCCCCTTATTCTCGCTCTATACCCAACCACACACACAAATGATTTCTCCACTCTCACTTTACAGTGATGAAATATCACTGTTATTCTAATGCAGCCAATGTCACCTAAAGGTTGTCCTCTGTGTTCTGGTGAGTGGATGGTGCAGCAGTCAGGGGGCTGGATGAAGGCAGGCTCGTTCTCATTTAGGGAGGAGTAGGAAGTGCCTGTATCAGGACTCAGCCTGACCACCTGTGAGCCTGCCCCTGGGTGTGTGCATGTCAAGTGTCAAAAAATAGGTCACTTCCAAAAAGGCGTTCTTTTGAACTAAGCATGTAGGGTAAAGTAGTGCTCTTGAAACTTCAATGTGCTTACGAACCACCTGAGGATCTCAGGAGAATGCAGATTCTGACTCATGGGTCTGGAGCGGGACCTGAATTCTGCATCTCTGAAAAGGTTGCCATACATGGCAGCAATGCCGGTCCACAGACCAGAGTTTGAGTAGTGAGGGGGTAAGTCACACCCATCACAGAATATCAGCGGGTTTTTATCTGCTCCTACTGTGTGCCCTGCGCTGTGTTAGATTCCGCGAGAGATTGAAACTAAACAGGATGAGACAATCTCATCATCTTCTGAGATCGGAAGTTCTCACGAGAGAACAATTACAGGCCATGGTGTGGAAGAACCCGGGGATTCTGGGATTTAAAGAAAGATGGATTTTGGAGTGAAGTGATACTCACAGGTGTGAGTGACGGTGGACCCCGGCTGGAAGCCAGGCTGACCGTGTAATGACCGTGTGTGGTCTTGAGCAACTTACTGCATACCTTCATCTATTCGATCTTAGTTTTCACACCTGGTGAAACTGGACAAAGAACACTTGTGTGTGTGTGTATATGTCTATATACACCTATGATGTGATAGTTTGGGTAATTTTGAGGCCTGAAGGACAGGAGAGACAGGCTGGGAACTGCATGTTGGCTGATTCGCCAAAGAACCCAGCCCATTTCCCCATCCTTCTTGTGAGATCCTTGACATCTGCCTGGAAATGAGGGAGGGATGGAGATGGATGAGGCAGTAGGAGAGGAGAAAGCAAGGAAGAGGGAAGAAAAAATCTGAATAAGAGGTTCTTAGGGGCAGTAGAGTGCAAAGAGAGAGAAGCTTAGATTTATGAGGCTGAACTAAATTACAGATGGCCTTGAACACCGGCCCTCTCCAGAGCCTGGACTTGGTCCCAGAGCTGACCAGGGCTGTTTGCCTGGAACAGGAGCAACAGATGAAAATGGTCCTCCAGCAGGATTAATTCAGTGGGGCTGACAGCTCCATTGTAACATCCAGTCAGTTGTCTGTTAAACGGAGCCGTAATTGCAGTCATTAGGGCTGGTCTCTGCATCATGGGGAACCGGAATGTGGTTGGGTTTCCTGTGTTTCCTGTCCGTCAAGGAGGGGCCAGGTGGGAATTTCTGCATCTCACGTCCCTTGTCCTGGAAAGGTCCATCGCGTTTTTTCCTCTCCTAAGAGAAAACCAGTTTTGTTTTTATTTTTTGTAACTGTAGGTTAAGAAGTCAATGCTCTGCCTCAGTAAAGTGATAGTTTTATAGCTGATGTCGAGGAGGTGTGTCCAACCAGGAGGGGTCGGGGATAGCCCCTGAGGCGACGGGCAGCCTGTTCCTCAGGGTCTTGGCTATTTGAGAAAAGGAAGGGTCCAGAAGTGCAGGCTCTTCCTGAAAAGGCTCTAGAATCACATGACGTCTCAGCCGGCTCTTCCTGAAAAGGCTCTAGAAACACGTGACGTCACAGCCTCAAAAGCTTGGGAGAGAGTCCAGGCAATTGACAGGGGGACCCTCTGTGGCCACCGATTAATTCCCAGATGGCTGGTGGCGTCTGCTCTTAGGAAGCACCCTGGGAGCTTTTACTGCAACACAGAGGCACCAAGAGCTGCCGCTGGGACGTGGTGCGTGAACCAGCCTCTGCTCAGCTCGCCTCGGGAAAGGCACAGGTGGGAAGGCTGGACAGGTAGAGGTGACCGGAGCACTGGGATTCGGACAGGTTCTCAGCGTCTCCATTTCCAAATGGAGTCCTTGTGATGGGGGCGGGAGACATGGCTGTGCCGTGACTGGAAATTCATGGAGTCCTAGGAGGACTTCAGTCCGCCTGAGTGAGAATACATCAAATCTGGAGTAGATATTTTTCCCTTCAAAAATAAAGGGCAGCCAAGTGCAGTGGCACCTGTCTGTGATCGCAGCTACCTGGGATGCTGAGGCAGGAGGATCACTTGAGCCCAGGAGAGTGACTACAGCCTGGGCAATGTAGAAAGACCTCATCTCAAGGAAACAAAAGTGAAGAGTGACCTTGGGGATTTCATCAGCAAATCAAGCAGGAAGTTCAGGGAGCCATCTCAGTCGGGATATCTCTGAGCATTTAGAAATCATGTTAACCCCTCTGCACCCAAGGTGATGTTACTGTGAGCTGCTCGGTGGATCACAAAGGAGTTTGAAGGGAAGGCGCTGTGAGAAGGGTAGGTACAAGTGCCAGGCTGCTTGATGTTGGGGTGTTTGAGCACCACAGTCTCTTGGCCACGCACCACTGGGCACTCCTGCAGCTCCAGCCATCCATGGGCTGGGGTAGACTGTGAGCGGTTAATCTCCAGGCATCCGTGGACTGGGGTAGACTGTGAATGGTTAATCTCCAGCCATCCGTGGACTGGGGTAGACTGTGAGCGGTTAATCTCCAGCCATCCGTGGACTGGGGTAGACTGTGAGCGGTTAATCTCCAGCCATCCGTGGACTGGGGTAGACTGTGAGTGGTTAATCTCCAGCCATCCGTGGGCGGGGGTAGACTGTGAGCGGTTAATCTCCAGCCATCCGTGGACTGGGGTAGACTGTGAGCGGTTAATCTCCAGCCATCCGTGGGCGGGGGTAGACTGTGAGCAGTTAATCTCCAGCCATCCGTGGACTGGGGTAGACTGTGAGCGGTTAATCTCCAGCCATCCGTGGACTGGGGTAGACTGTGAGTGATTAATCTCCACACCCTCCTGGTCTCCCGAGCGCCTGGCACAGTCCTTAGCTGCGTCCTGGAGAACTGGTCTTCCGGGCCCTGCCTACCTCTCTGCCATCGCTGCTACCATTCTTTGTCTGCACCTGCAGGCTAAGGCTCCACGGGCCCCTCTTCTGTCGCTGACACAGCAAGGTTTTCCTATGTCAGCCTTCTCACGATCCATCCCTGTCCCCGGTCTGCCCCCGGCCCCGTCTCCATCCACAAGTGTTCCTTGTCATCCATCTCAGTGCTGAGTGGACACCGTCTCGGTGAAACTTCCTGCCCACCCTCCCAGAGAGGCTCCTCCTGTCCCCACCACACACAGAGCTCACCCAGGTTTCACCCTCTCCATTCCTAGATGTGTCCTTCACAGTGTTACCTAAATCTGCAATTCTTCCTTTTTTATTTCAATAGATTTTTGGGGAACAGGTGGTGTTTGGTTATATGGATAAGTGACTGAGTGGTGATTTCTGAGATTTTAGTGCACGCAAGCCATGTACACTGTACCCAACGTGTAGTCTTTTATCCTCCACCCCTTCCCATCCTTCCCCGAGTCCCCAAAGTCCATTGTGTCATTCTTACGCCGTTGCATCCACATAGCTTAGCTCCCACTTGTAAGTGAGCACATACAATGTTTGGTTTTCCATTCTTGTGTTACTTCACTTTGAATAATGGTCTCCAACTCCATCCAGGCTGCCGCAAATGCCATTATTTTGTTCCTTTTTTTGGCTGAGTAGTATTCCATGGTATATATATACCACATTTTCTTTTTTTACTCATTAGTTGATAGGCATTTGGGCTGGTTCTGTGTTTTTGCAATTGTGAATACACATGCATGTGCAAGGATCTTTTTCGTATAATGAGCCTTTTCTTCTGGGCAGATACTCACGAGTGGGATTGCTGGGTCAAACAGTAGATCTACTTTTAGTTCTTTAAGGAGTCTCCACACTGTTTTCCGTAGTGGTTGTACTAGTTTACATTCCCACCAGCAGTGTAGAAGTGTTCCCTGTTTACCACATTCATGCCAACATCTATTTTTTTATTTTTTAATTATGATCATTGTTGCAGGAGTGAGGTGGTGTCACACTGTGGTTTTTTTATTTGCACGTCCTTGATAATTAATGATGTTGAGCATTTTTTCCATATGTTTGTTGGCCATTTTTGTATCTTCTTTTGAGATTTGCCTATTCCTGTCCCTGGCCCACTTTTTGATGGGATTATTTGTTTTTATTTCTTGCTGGTTTGAGTTCCTTGAAGATTCTGGATATGAGTCCTTTGTCACATGCATAGTTTTTGAAGATTTTCTCCCACTCGGTGGGTTGTCTGTTTACTCTGCTGATTATTTCTTTTGCTGTGCAGAAGCTTTTTAGTTTAAGTCTCTTCTGTTTATCTTTGCTTTTGTTGAATTTGCTTTTGGGTTCTTGCTCATGAAGTATTTGCCTAAGCCAATGTCTAGAAGGGTTTTTCCAATGCCATCTTCTAGAATATTTAGGGTTTCAGGTCTTAGCTGTAAGTCTTTGATCCATCTTGGGTTGATTCTTGTATAAGGTGAGAGATGAGGATCCAGTTTCATTCTTCTATATGTGGCTTGCCGATTATCCCAGGACCATTTGTTGAATAGGGTGTCCTTTCCCCGCTTATGTTTTTGTTTGGTTTGTTAAAGATCAGTTGGCTGTAAAATCACATGATCATCTCAACAGTTGCAGAAAAAGCATTTGAGAAAATCCAGCATCACTTTATGATTAAAACCCTCAGCAGAATTGGCATAGAAGGGACATACTTTAAGTTTATAAAAGTCATCTATGACACACTAACAGCCAACATTATACTGAACAGGGAAAAGTTGAAAGCATTTTTCCTGAGAACTGGAACAAGACAAGGATGCCCACTTTTACCACTTCTGTTCAACATAGTACTAGAAGTCCTAGCCAGAGCAATCAGACAAGAGAAAGAAATTAAGGGCATCCAAATTGGTAAAAAGGAAGTCAAACTGTTGCAGTTCACTGATGATATGATTTTATACTTAGAAAACCTAGATCTGATAAATGAATTCAGTAAAGTTTCAGGACACAAAATCAATGTACACAAATTAGTAGCACTCCTATAGAACAATAGTGACGGAGCTGAGAATCAGATCAAGAACTCCACCCCTTTACAATAATAGCTGCAAAAATAAATAAATAAATAAATAAATAAATAAATAAATAAATAAATAAAATGCTTAGGAATATACCTAACCAAGGATGTGAAAAACCTCTACACCTCTACAAGGAAAACTGTAAAACACTGATGAAAGAAATCATAGATGACACAAACAAATGGTAACACATCTCATGCTCATGGATGGGTAGAATTAATATTGTTAAAATGACCATACTGCCAAACACAATGGATAAATTCAATATCATTCCTATCAAAATACCATCATCATTCTTCACAGAAGTAGAAAAAACAATCCTAAAATTCATATGGAACCAAAAAAGAGCCTGCATAGCCAAAGCAAGACTAAGCAAAAAGAACGAATCTGGAGGCATCACATTACCCAACTTCAAACTATACTATAAGGCTATAATCACCAAAACAGCATGGTACTGGCATAAAAATAGGCATGTAGAGCAATGGAACAGAATAGAGGACCCAGAAATAGAGTGTAATTTTTCTTTATGGGTTCGTTTATTTGTTTATTAGCTTTTTCCTTCCCTACATTTTAAATTCCAAAAAGACAATCAGATTTGTGATATATCATTGCATATGTAGTCCTAGATCTGTGCTGGTCCCATGGTGGGCATCAGCTGTTCTGTCAATGTTTCTTGAGTGAATCATTTTCATAAATACAATTAATCCGTTTCTATACTACTCTAATAAATTCCTATGTTGAAGCCCAAACTCCCAATGTGATGGTATTTGGAGATGGGGTTTTAGGGAGGTAATTAGTCTTAGGTGATGTCATGAGAGTAACCTCCTATTCCAAGCACTCTTAGAATGTCTGAACGTGTTATTAATGAGTAATTTTTATAATCAAAGGAAAACATTTAAAGGTGTTTTTCCAGGAATTAGTCATAAGTGAGCTTATTTTGCACAACTGTGATGGTCTGACTTGTCTGTATCCTAAGTTGTCACAGCTCACTGAGATATTAGGACTCTTCCACAGAAGCCACTCAGAACGCCCAGGCATGTCCTACCCCCTCGTAATCCCACCTCCCTCCCTGAGAAACGGCGTGTCATCAGCGGTGCTTGACCACTTTCAACTGGAGAAATTTTATCTTTTTAGCAACTCAAATAATTTGCCAGTTTCATAATCTCCAGGATTCAGTGTCAGTCATGGTGCTCAGTCATCCACCTCGCCCCAGTGTCTTACAACCCCTGAGCCTAAGAGCCTGTGATTGACTTAATCCCAGGTAGGGTGGGTGCTGGGCCTTGATTGGTGTTTAGTGGTGGCCAGATTTACACGTCACCCCCCAGGTTCCAGGCCAGGCTCTGTGGAGTGGGCTCTGCTGGGCATGTGACAAGGGTCCCATCCGTCCAGGGCTCAGGTGACCTTCCTGGAGAGGCTGGCTTAGGGCAGGGTGATGTTGGAAGCATGGCAGGGATTCAGCTGATGACAGGGAGGTTTGGTTGTCTGGAAGGGCATGTGTCCAGGGCCAGATGAAACCAGTGCAGTGTTTTAAGAAACTGGATGCAGCCTGCAGCAGGGGAACTTGAGATGTCTTGAGGGCTGACCCTGTTAAAGAGTTTCCATGTTCATTCAAGAGCAGCAGGAGTGTGTGGGGGGAAGGAGAGGGGCTCAAGCCCTGAGGCGGGCAGGCAGCTCAGCTCTGCTGAAACGTAGAATGCCCCCAGCAAGCACAGCACAGGCCCACTGAGTGGGGAGTGTACAGAGAAGTTTCTCTGGCAGGTGGGGTATGGCATGGAGGGGCTCCCTCTGGGGCCTAGTTCCCTCTTGCCATGGCTACTGCCTTGGGAATATTTTAGAAGTGAGTCTGGGGCCACTTGAGGCCAAAGAAGGGAAACTGGCATAACTGACCCCCCACCCCCGGCCCTGGTTCCAATGGCAGCACCCCTGCAGGGCACGTGGATCCTGGGTCCCTTCCACAGCTCCCCTGGGCCCCATGTGGTCGGTTTTCCCATGTGGGACACTTTGTAAGGTCACTCCCCTGTAGTTCCCCCTCCCTCCCAGATCCTCTGCCAGTCTGGGCAGCAATGTCCCTCCCAGGACGCTGCCCTTCTGCCCAGCAATCAATGCCATTTTCCATTAGGTTCAAGGACAGATCCTCCCCAACGTCCAGCGAGGCTGCGGCTGTCTTTAAAGGACAGACAGCCCACACCAGGGAGGACCTGGCAGGCTCGGCTCTTCCGCCAGCCTTGGGCATGTGGAGATCAAGTGAGGATGAGCTGTGGTTTGAGGACGTTTCCAAGCTTATTTTGAACAATGTTCCGTGGTTTTGCAACATGATCTCATGTGAACAGGCTGCGTTCAGCACAACATTCTCAGGGGCCACCGACCTGCGGATCCTCCCCATCACTTCTGTTCATTTCCCAAGTAAAATCCACCTTCCTTGATGGCAAACACAGGGTGGCCGTGGGGACGTTGTTAAAAGTGGGTCTAATCAGTGGAGCCTGTGAGGGCTTTTGCAGGGGTAATGAACACCACCAGCCAACGATCTTGTTTTTCCATCAGATAGATGCACAGAAAAACAACTTTGGGTGCAGCAAAAAGGATTTCGCTTTTTAACGTGGAGCTGTTGGAGTTTCAATTAAATCCAGAATTCATTAAAAATTTCCCAACAATGATATAAAGTACTCTCATTGTATTTAAATTTTCTGTTTGTAAACATGTAAACAGCTTATGTGAGGTGTTGCCACCACATCACCGTATCCATTAATCAATACTGATTTGTGTCCAGGCACAGTGGCACACGCCTGTAATCCCAGCACTTTGGGAGGCCAAGGTGGGTGGATCACCTGAGGTCGGGAGTTCGAGACCAGCCTGACCAACATGGAGAAACCCTGTCTCTACTAAAAATACAAAATTAGCCAGGCGTGGTAGCCCATGCCTGTAATCCCAGCTACTCAGGAGGCTGAGGCAGGAGAATTGCTTGAACCCGGGAGGTGGAGGTTGCAGTGAGCCGATATCGTGCCATTGCACTCCAGCCTGGATGACAGAGCGAGACTTCGTCTCAAAAAATAAAATAAAATAAAAAAATAAAAATAATAATTTGCTTCCATCGCTTTCAGTGCTCCTCGTGCTCCAGGCCACCATTGTCAGGATGCAGGTCTGACTGGCGCTGTGGAAACACAAGGCTCTTGGTTCTTGGTCCTTCACCTGATTCACAGCGCTAAAGCCTAGAGCAGAGTGGGCACACAATTATTTTATGAACAAATGAAAACATTTAAACCTGGGGATGTGCAGTGACTCAGAGAATATCGAATGTGCAGAAAAAGAAATGAAATCACAAGAAAAGGGCAAAATCCCCACATTCCCAAGAGCCTCATGTTCATGATCTTTCAATCTTTCAAAGACACGCAGGTTGTCTCATCCTTCGGATACCTGGAATCTCACCAGGGAAAGAAGGGATTGGACTTGGAGCTGCTTTCAGTTCTAAGGGAAGAAAACATTAGGAAGGTTTGCTCCGTCTCCAGAGGTCCTCCTTCCTCTCAGGCTGAGACCCATGGAGCATTAAGAGAACTCCAGGTTATGGCACAGATGATGCCATCCTTTGAGCTTTTAAAAACCGTTCATTTGGTAGAGATCTATTTGATGTCTAGTTAGTATGAACCAGACATTTATGAGCCATGGAGCACTGTCCATAAAGAGATGAGATAGATGAAATCTCAGTGTCCACACACTTGGCAGTGTAGTGGAGAGAGAGACGTATTAACAAACTGCAGTCTAGAATGAGGAGGCAGACGTGGTCATCAAGGAAGGCTGCCTGGAGGAAGTGACTTATATCTGGGTTTTGGAGGACTGTTGCCAGCAAATGACCTCACCCTGGGAGTGATTAAGAAACCTTCTTATATCTTTATTTTTCCAGTACCTTTTTGCCAAGACCTCTCTCTCTCTCTCTTCCCCCCCGCCCACCCCCCATGATTAGCATTTTAATTGGATTAATGTTCTTAAATTCATGTTTCTGAATAAGAATGACATGTATATGTACTCATCTTCTCAAAAACATCACATATCTCTTAGTTTATACAACTCTTCATTTATAAACGTTGGAAAATTTTAGTGCTCTTCATATAGATCAGAAACATTTCTTATGAGGTTTATTCTATTTATTATATGCCATTGTTGCTCTTACGGCAGAGATTTTCTTGTTAAATTCTGTAATTTGTCTCATGATGAGAATTTGGGAGGCCACAGAACGGTGAGTATCCAGCATCTTAGCAAACTGTTCACTGTCTCAAAGATCTCCAGGTTTTCCTAGAAAGAGAATCACATCATCCTCAAGTCACGTCATGATTTCCTTGCTGTGTGCGGGATGTTATTAGCTGTTTTGCGGGTGTCATACTCACAGTCTTGTCTGTGGCTTTCCTGGGATTAAATCTGCAAGTCAACAACAGGCTTCAGGATGTTGATCGTTTAAGAAACTGAGGAGGCCCACATTTGTTTGATTTTACTAAAAGTTTTGATCGAGTTTTGAAATTAAATTTCATCAAATGCCTTTCCACTGTGTATTGCAATGATAATCCAGTATGTCTCTATTAATTTATGGCAATAAATATTGATTTCCTAATATTACATCATCCTTAATGTCCTTAATGTCCCAGAGTACTCACCATATTGCTCACATTATAATGTTAAATATTCCTGACTTTATATCACCCGTGTTTTAGTGAGGGATTTCCACCTGTATTCCTAAGATTGCTGGGTAGGTTTTCTGCGGCATCTTCCTCAGATATGGATAGCAGGGGTAAGCAGCGTTCATGCATTCCTTAGGGAGCTTCCCGTCTTTCTCTGGGCTCTGATCCAGGTTAAATGGTGCAGGAATCACATCTTCTCTAATATCCAAGGGCCCTCTCCCATCAGGATGTCGGGGACCAAGGGCTTTCCATGAAGTGCTTTCTGGACACCAGCATCCATCTTTCCAGTGGCTCCCATGGCCATTGTGCTCAGCCACCGCTGCCTCCTGACCTGGTCTGGGTGATCCCTGCTTGCCTAGAAGATGAGCACATGGCAGACTCCGCCCCATCACTCGGGTCCTCACTCCTTTTGCTGGCCCAGTTCCTTTTCCACAGTGAGCTGAGGTTGACGGTGTAATTTCCCCATCTCCAGCCTTCAGAGGCCGCCTCTGCCCTAGCATCCATTCAGAGACCCGGCTGTGGTCTCTGTGCCTCCCTTGTCCACAGCCGCCTGTCCTCACCTCCATGTGGTTGCCAGGCTCCTCCCAGGCCTGGAACCCTCCCCAGGGGGCCTTGCGTCTTACCACACTTTCTCCCAGCCCCCTTCCCTCCACACCTCATTCCCTGCCAGGCCTCCCAGAACTGCCACCCAGCAGGTGTCTTTTATTCTTCAAGTCTCATTTTAAATGCCCCTCCTCAGCAAGTCCTCTCCCAACCAACCCAGGTGGAACTGGGAGTAGGACACCACAGCTCCAGGACAAAAGCTCACTACCTGCGGCCCCGCCACTCAGGTGATCGTTTTTCCGTGAGCAGCCCAGGGTGCTTTCCAGGGGGAAGAGGTGCCATTGCTGATGACAGAAGGGCATCTCGTAGATTGGGACTGCAGGTAGCAAGCAGGGCTGTTTGGTGGTTTTAAATATCAGCTATGAGTATTACCACCACTTTACGTAGGAGATGCTGAAACAGAGGGCAGTGGCCAAGGTAATACCCTAACCCGGAAGTCAGATCCCAGGAGTGGAGTAACCTTCTCACACGGCCTCCTCCTCATTTATCCTGTGGCCTCTTTCAATTAATTGATCATGTGTCTGCTTCTTCCCTATTGTCTGTTTTCAGTTAGGCTCTGAGGTCCTTTTTAACAAGGACGGCGCCTTTCATTCTGTGCACTGCACCTAGTTCTTCGCACAGACACAGCAGGTGTGCCTTAAGTCTATGTAGAGTGAATGAATGCATAAATATTTTCTATTGTTACTATCAAGATTTTCTAATTAGCCTTGACTTCCACATAACATTCTTTAATGAATTAAAGCCAAGCCATCTGTTGCTGTTGTTGTGTTTTCCACATTTGTGGCCATAACCTGAAGTTAATTGGGGCAGTTGCTTCCCTCCTCTGGCTGAAACACACTAGAACATGCGTTTAAAAATGCAGTGCAATCTCGTTTCGGGAGAGCACTCTGTGCTCTTGTATCTCACTGCCCACTTCTGTGTCTAAGTCTCATGGAAATAGTATAAGAACACAAAAGGGAAAATCAACGTCATCCATGCAGGAAACAGTAAAGGTCGTCAAGTGAGGAACTTTGGGGCACTAACAAAAATATGGTACAAAAGGGGGAGAATTGACAAAAGTCATTAATGGAGTGTCTCATTTTTGGAAAGGTAAACGAAATCCCAAATATCAAATTGGGAATGAAGATAAAGAATTTGTGAGTAGGAGAAGAGAAAGTCAAATTAAAATAATGTGTTACTAATTGTCTTCTTGACATGTCAGCACCTTCTGAGCATGATCATGCGAGGCTGATAGCTGAGGCTGGTTGAGAGCTGAGATCTAAAGCTAATCGTGCAGGTTGAGAGTGGTACCCTGATGGGTTCATTAGGGTGCATCACCTGGAGACGTCCAGGTACCTGGATGGGTTCATTTGGGTGCATCACCTGGAGACGTCCAGGTACCTGGATGGGTTCATTTGGGTGCATCACCTGGAGACGTCCAGGTACCTGGATGGGTTCATTTGGGTGCATCACCTGGAGACGTCCAGGTACCTGGATGGGTTCATTTGGGTGCATCACCTGGAGACGTCCAGGTACCTGGATGGGTTCATTTGGGTGCATCACCTGGAGACGTCCAGGTACCTGGATGGGTTCATTTGGGTGCATCACCTGGAGACGTCCAGGTACCTGGATGGGTTCATTTGGGTGCATCACCTGGAGACGTCCAGGTACCTGGATGGGTTCATTTGGGTGCATCACCTGGAGACGTCCAGGTACCTATATGGGTTCATTTCGGTGCATCACCTGGAGACGTCCAGGTACCTGGATGGGTTCATTTGGGTGCATCACCTGGAGACGTCCAGGTACCTCCATGGGTTCATTTGGGTGCATTACCTGGAGACGTCCAGGTACCTGGATGGGTTCATTTGGGTGCATCACCTGGAGACGTCCAGGTACCTCGATGGGTTCATTAGGCACATCACCTGGAGACGTCTAGGCTCATGCAGTGCTTGGGAGGAGCTTTCTGGTGCATCTGTGCATTGGTTGGCTCCAAGTTTGAATTACTTCTAATTTGTGAAAGGAGGTTCTGTTTTCTCAGTTGTAAAGGGTGTGTCTAGACAGGGGAGTGTGTGTTCGCATGTTTGCACACATCTGCAGGGGACTAATAGCTGCGCTTAACCATGTCACATTGGGGTCTTCAGGTCTCACGTGAACTGAGGTCTCAATTACTCTAGACATTGAGTGGTAACTACAGACAGCTCAGTCAACTTCAAACAGGGGCTCTGATATCCAGGAAGGCATGTCCGTACTTCAGGGACTCAGGCTCTGTCCTAATTGTTTTTTTGTAAGGGGCAGGGTCTCACTCTGTTGCCCAGGCTGGAGTGCAGTGGCTCAATCTTGGCTCACTCTAGCCTTGAACTCCTGGGCTCAGGAGATCCTCCCTCTTCAACCTCCCACGTATGTGCCACCATGCCTGGCTAATTTTTTTTTTCAATTTTTTTACAGATTGTCTCACTATGTTGCCCAGGCTGGACTTGAACCTCCTGAGCTCAAGCAATCCTCCCACCTCAGCCCCTCAAAGTGCTGAGATTACAGGCATGAGCTACCAGATCCTGCCCTCAATTGATTTTTAACCGCCAATAAGTATTTATCTAGTTTTTGCCTTAAACTGCACTATACGATCTCATATTACCTAGCCCTCCCTTTCTCTCTCATAACTGTTCATACATCATCCTCTCTTCCCCCACCAAAAATCTCAGATTTTTCTGAATCTGTTATGAAGTGAACAGTAGTAACCTAATCAGGGAATGAGTTCTTTTCTGTCTTAGTTGGGGGAAAGTAATTTACAAATCAAGGTAAATATGAGGTGTTTAATCCCCACACAGGTACTGTTTCTCATTTACAGTGAGACCTGGCAAGGATGATGTTGCTGCTTGGTTTTTCCTTCAACTTTTACCTTAGGTTTGGGGTGCATGGACAGGTTTGTTACATGGATAAATTGCCTAGCTGGGGTATGGTGTACAAAAAATTTCATCACCCAGGTAGTGAGCATAGTACCCGATAGGTGGTTTTTCAACACTCTCCCTCCTCCCACCCTTCACCCTCAAATAGGCCCCAGTATCTGTTGCTCCCCTCTTTGTGCTCATGAATTCTCAGTGTTTAGCTCTCAATTATCAGGGAGAACATGGAGTATTTAGTTTTCTGTCTCTGTGTTAGTTTGCTTAGGATAATGGCCTCTAGCTGCCTCCATGTTCCTGCAAAGGATATGATCTTGTTTTTTTATGGCTGCACAGTATTCCATCATGCATATGCACCACATTTTCTGTACCTAGTTCATCATTGCTGGCCACTATGTTGATTCCATGTCTTTGCTATTGTGAATAGTTCTGTGATGAACATAGGGGAGTGCATGTGTCTTTTGGTAGAATGATTTATATTCTATTGGGTATATACCCAGTAATTGGATTACTGGATCAAATGGTAGTTCTAGTTTTAGTTCTTTGAGAAATCTCTAAACTGCTTGGACTGTTTTCCCATTTGCTTGTTTCATCTCTGATTTCCTTTAGCAGTTTTGTAATTCTCATTGTAGAGACCTTTCACCTCCCTGGTTAGCTGTATTCCTAGGAATTTTAACCTCCCTGGTTAGCTATATTCCAAGGAATTTTAAATTAGTTCACAGTGGCTGAACTAATTTATATTCCCACCAGTAGTGGGAATATAAATTAAGCGTTATCTTTTCTCTGCAACCTTGACAACATCTGCTATTAATAATAGCCATTCTGACTGGTGTGAGAGGGTATCTCATTGTGATTTTGATATGCATTTCTATAATGAGTAGTGATGTTTAGGATTTTTAAAATATGCTTGTTGCTTGCATGTATGTCTTCTTTTGAGAAGTGTCCATGTCCTTTGCCCATTTTTTAATGGGGTTGTTTTTTGCTTGTTGATTTAAGTTCTTTGTTGATGCTAGGTATTAGACCTTTGTCAGAAGGGTAGATTTGCAGATATTTTCTCCCATTCTATAAGTTGTCTGTTTGCTCTGTTGATAGTTTCTTTTTCTATGCAGAAGCTCTTTAATTAGGTCCCACTTGTCAATTTTTGTTTTTGTAGAAATTGCTTTCAGAGGCAACATAAAATGTTTGCCAACACTATGTTCAGAATGGTATTTTCTAGGTTCTCTTCCAGATTTTTTATAGTTTTAGGTTTTGCCTTTAAGGCTTTGATCCATCTTGAGTTAATTATTGTATATGGTAAAAGGAAGTGGCCCAGTTTCAATCTTCTGCATATGGGTAGCCAGCTATTCCAGCACCGTTTATTGAATAGCAAATCCATTCTCCAGTTGCTTGTTATTGTCAACTTTGTCAAAGATCAGTTGGTTGTAGGTGTGCCGCTTTATTTGGGGGTTCTCTATCCCGTTCCATTGGTCTATGTGTCTGGGTTTTGTTGTTGTTGTTGTTGTTGTTTTATTCTGTTTAGTTTTGTTTTTTTTTACCCGTACCATGTTGTTTTGGTTATTGTAGTTTTATAGTATAGTTTGAAGTTGAGTAATGTGATGCCTCCACCTTTGCTCTTTTTGCTTTGGACTTTTGTGGCTATTCAGGCTCTTTTTTGTTTCAATATATATTTTAGAATAGTTCTAATTATATGGAAAATCATGTTGGTAGTTTGATAGGAATAGCATTGAATCTGTAAATTGCTTTGATTAGTATGGCCATTTTACAATATTGATTCTTCATAACTATGAGCTTGGAATGTTTTTCCATTCACTTGTTTCATCTCTAATATCTTTCAGAATTTTGTAATTCTCATTGCAGAGATCTTTCACCACCTGGTTAGCTGTATTCCTAGGAATTTTATTCATTTTGTGACTATTGTGAATGGGGTTGTGGTCTGGATTGGGTTCTCAGCTTGGATGTTATTGGTGAATAGAAATGCTATTAATTTTTGTACACTGAGTTTATATCCTGAGACTTTACTGAAGTTTATCAGTTTTAGGAGCCTTTGGGCAGAAACTGCGGGGTTTTCTAGGTATAGAATCATATAGTCTAAAGACAGGTAGTTTGACTTCTTCTCTTTCTATCTGAATGCTTTCTATTTGTTTCTCTTGCCTGACTGCTCTGGCAAGGACTTCCAGTACTATGTTGAATAGAAGTAGTGTGAGAGGGCATTCTTGTTTTGTTCTGGTTCTCAAGGGAAATGCCTCCAGCTTTTACCCATTCAATATGATGTTGGCTGTGGTTTTGTCATAGATGGCTCTTATTTTGAGATAAGTTCCTCTGATGACTAGTTTGTGAGGGTTTTTAACATGAAAGGATGTTGAATTCTATCGAAAGCCTTTTCTGCATCTATTAAGATGATCATGTAGTTTTTATTTTTAGTTATGATTATGTGATGAATCACATTTATTTATGTTTGTTAAACCAAACTTCCATCCAGGGATAAATATTGCCTGCCTGACCGTGGTGGATTAGCATTTTAATATGCTGCTGGATTTGATTTGTTAGGATTTTGCTGAGGATTTTTGTGTCTATGTTTATCAGGATACTTAGCACAAGTTTTCTTTTTTCTTTGTATCTCTGCCAGGTTTTGGTATCAGAATGATGCTGACCTCATAGAATGAGTTAGGGAGAAGTCCCTCCTCCTTGATTTTTTGGAATAGTTTTGTTGGTTTTGTACCAGCTCTTTCTTTTATGTCTGGTAGAATTTGGCTGTGAATCCGTATGTCCCAGGGCTTTTTCTTGTTGGTAGCTTATTACAGAATCAATTTTAGAACTCATTATTGGTCTGTTCAGGATTTCAGTTTCTTCCTGGTTCAATCTTGGGAGATGGTATGCTTCCTGGAATTTATTCTTTTTTTTTCTAGGTTTTTTAGTTTGTGTGCATAGTGGTGTTAGTAATAGTCTCTGGGAGCTTTTTGTATTTCTGTGGAATCAACAGTAATATCCCCTTTGTCATTTCTGATTGTGTTTATTTGGATCTTCTCTCTGTTTAAACTTAATCTAGCTAGTGGTCTATCAGTATTATTTCTTCTTTCAAAAAAACCAACTTATGGTTTTGTTGATGTTTTGAATGGATTTTTGTGTCTGAATTTTGTTCAGTTCAGTTCTGATTTAGGCAATTTGTTTTCTTCTACCTTTGGGTTAGGTTTGCTCTTGGTTTTCTAGTTTCTTTAGGTGTGGTGTTAGCTTATTAATTTGAAATCTTTCTAACTTCTTGATGTAATCATTTAGTGCTAGAAACTTTCCTCTTAACACTGCTTTACCTGTGACCCAAAGATTGTGGCATGTTGTATATTTGTTTTCATTAGTTTCAAATAATGTTTGGATTTCTACCTTCATTCTTTACCCAAAAGTAATTCAAGAGGAGGCTGTTTAATTTCCATGATATTGTATGATTTTGAGCAATGTTCTTGGTGTTGATCTCTGTTTTTATTGTGCTGTGGTCCAAGAGTGTGCTTGGTATGATTTGGGTTTATTTCAATTTGTTGAGAATGGCTGTATGGCCAAGGATGTTATCAATCTTAGAATATGTGCCGTGTGGAGATGAGACTATATATTCTGTTGTTGTTGGGGAGAGTATTCTGTAGATATCTATTAGGTCTATTTGGTCAAGTGTGAAGTTTAGGTCCCAAATATCTTTGTTAGTTTTCTACCTCAATTATCTGTGTAACACTGTCAGTGAGATGTTAAAATCTCCCACTATTACTGTGTGGTTATCAAAGTCTTTTCATAGGCCTCTGAGAAATTCTTTTATGAATCTGGGTACTCTAGCATTGGGTGCCTATATATTTAGTTTTGTTAAGCCTTCTTGTTGAATTGAACCTTTTATCATTATGTAATGCCTTTTTTTGTCCTTTTTGATCATTGTTGGTTTAAAGTCTTTTTTTCTGAAATAAGAATAGCAGCTCTTCCTCTTGTTTGTTTTCCATTTGCTTGATAGATCTTTCTCCATACATTTACTTTGAGCCTATGGGTGTCTTCACATGTGAGATGAGTCTCTTGAAGACAGCGTACAGTTGAGTCTTGCTTGTTTCTTCAGCTTTCCACTCTTTGCCTTTTAACTGGGGGTGTTTAGCCTGTTTATATTGAAGGTTAATATTGGTATGTGAAGATTCAATTATGTCATGTTGTTAGCTGATCGTTATGTATACTCGGTTATATAGTTGTTTTTTAGTGTCAGTGGACTATGTACTTATGTGTGTTTTTGTGGTGGCAGATAAGGGTCTTTCATGTCCATGTCTACCAGTCCCTTTAGGACCTCTTCGAAGGCAGGTCTGGTGCTAATGAATTATCTTAGCATTTGTTTGTCTGAAAAGGATTTATTTTTCTCCTTTACTTATGAAGCATAGTTTGGCTGCATGTAAAATTCTTGGTTGGAATTTCTTTTCTTTACGGATGCTGAATATAGTTTCTTAATCTCTTCTGGCTTGTAAGATGTCTGCTGAAAGGTCCACTGTTAGCCTGATGGGGTTCCCTTGGTACATGACCTGCCTCCTCTCTAGCTGCATTTAGCATTTTTTTTTCATGCTGACTTTGGAGAACCTGATGACTATGTGTCCTGGGGATTGTCGTCTTGTATATTATCTCTCAGGGGTTCTCTGAATTTCCTGAATTTTCATATCAACCTCTCTGGCAATGTTGAGGAAATTTTCATGGACAGCATTCTCAAATATATTTTCCGAGTTGCTTGCTGTCACTCCACCTCTTTCAGCAATGTTAGCGAGTCATAGGTTTGCTCTCTTTACATTCTCACATATTTCTCAGAGGTTTTCTTCATTTTTAAGTGCTTTTCTTCCTTTATTTTTGTGTGCCTGTATTGAATTGAAGGAGTGGTCTTTGAGCTCAGAGATTCTTTCCTCAGCTTGGTCTATTCTGTTATTAATGCTTCTAATTGCATTCCGAAATTCCTGTGGTGAATTTTTTATTTCCAGTTCTGTTTGGTTCTGTCTGAAAATTGTTGTCGTTCAACTGTTGGACCATTTTACTGTTTTCCTTGGATTAGGTTTCAACCTCATTCTGAATCTTGAGCTTCTGTGCCATCCAGATTCTGAATTCCATGTCTGTTGTTTCAGCCATTTCAATCTGGTGAAGAAACATTGCCGGGGAGCTAGAGCAGTCATTTGGTTGTAAGAAGACACGCTGGCTTTTAGAGTTACCAGAGTTGTTGTGCTGGTTCTTTCTCATCTGTGTGGGCTGATGTTACTTTAATCTTTGACATCGCTATCTTTTGGATGGGGCTTTTTGATTTTATATTCTTTGATGCCCTTGCGAGTTTGACTGTGGTATAAGCTGGGCTCAGTCAGTTCACTTTATTTCTGGAAGATTTCAAGGGATAAAGGCTCAGCTCAGCACCCAGGGGCTGCATGCTCTAACCCTGGGGGGCTAGGACCAGTCCCATGGCTTTGTTCTCTGGCCCCTCAAGTTTAAGTACCTGCTGTGCTGGAGGGGCCAAGGTGTTCTCAGTCCACTGGTAACGACACTCCAGTGGGGGCTGCTAGCCAAAGTGCTCTTGCAGAGTGATGGTAAGTACGTAAGTGCACGTGCATGTATGTGCTGGCAAGATAGCAGGGGGAGGCTACAGGTAGGTGCATGCTGGCGGGGGAAGGCTGCAGGTGGGTGTACACGGTGGGGGGAGGCTGCTGGTGGGTGCATGCTGGCAGGGGAAAGCTGTGGGTGGGTGTGCACTGGTTGGGTTTATCTGCAGAAGTGCTCTGATGGTCAGACGGGCTCTGCTGGTGAGAGGGCTGGGGCTGTGGCCACTGATGAGAGCCTTGGCAGCTGTTGCTGTGCTGCAAGTGGGTGCATCCAGGCGGGGAGCCCAGGAGAGGCCAGCAGTCAGAGGGGCGTTCAGATCAGACTGGCTGCATCCCAGGAGCCGGCCAGCCGTGCTCTCTCCTGGTCCCACAGCTAACAAAGCCTAAAGCCACCTAGAGGAGTGTGGCAAGCCTTGGGGGACGGGTGCCCATGGCTGAGCTCCACTGCAGCCGTTCCCACACCAAATCTTCTGGAGTTCTGTCTGCCAACTCCTTGGGCACTTCTCCCTGCCAGCTCAGAGGTCTGTGGGGGTCATTGAGTCTCCCATAGGTGGGATCGGGGAGATCCATGTGAAGAGTGGGCCACTCCATGCCTGTTTCCCTTAGTCCTCCCCTAGGAGTCACTCAAGGCCAATAACAAGTCCTGGTGCCCAGCAACCCTGTCCAGGGTTCCCACCTTCCTCCCCTTTCAGCCAGGGATCTGTGTCCTCACTGTCCACTTTGAAAGCCTTTTTTCCAAGGATCTGTTCACAGTGTGCAGGTCTATGCCATGGGCTGGTCTCTGTGAGAAGCGCTTCCCGTGTGCATGGAGCCAGCCATCTTGGCTCTTCTCCGCGGTGCTGCATTTTTTAAAGAGTGACTACTGTTCAGGGTGGGGAGAAGAAGTACTTTGAAACAATTAGTGGGTGGATGACATTTCTCTTTCTTCTACAAGATGACTAAAAGTTTAAAATATTAAAGAAAAATATCATTGTATAAGAAGGGCTGCTTGAAAGAATGGTTTGACCAGGGTTGTTGATCTTCACTTTCTCTTTTTTAAAAATATGACATTAAAAATTGTAAGTGCCTTAAACACTAGAGACATACGCACTGATTTGTGTTCCCACAGCAAGATTTCTGAAAGGGAAGAGCAAGACTTGTCTGCCACTGTGGGCCCCTGCAGCCATTATGGAGGGTTCTGTGATGACTGTTTGGTTTTCCCTAAGGGAAGTGGGATAATCAACCTGTCGGAATCTCAAGGATAAAAACAATTGAATAGTAGGCAGAGATTTATTAAGCACCCATATGCTCTATATGTGTATATTTATTGAGCATCTATATGTTCTGTTCTCTAGCAAACAATGTGTGAGATGGAGAAAAACAGAAGACATACTCCTTGTTGTTAAAAACAATAAGGATATCTTCTCAACCTTAATTATTTTACCTTATTAATTTTGACTTCTCATTGTTTCCCCTTGATGTGGATTAATATGAAGGCAGATTCAAGTTAAGCAATGAATCAAAACGATATTCTTTGAGCGTACAATATGTTTGTGGCATCGTGGCAGACAGAATTTAAACCACATGGATGATTAAGATAGGTTTTCTCCTCTCAAAGGAGCCATTGTCTAAGAGGAATTGCAAGAAAATGACAGATAATGAAAATATCTCTTATTTTAGCATTTACCTGGCATTCGTGGCACATTTAATGTGGGTCAGGAAGAGGGAATATCAGGATGAGTAAGGCACAGTTCTCTCATATAAGAGACATAATTGACATGCGTATTTGTAACTACCGTCAAGTAGGAAAAATTTTCACTGTCATATCCCAAGCACCAAGAACAGAGCCTGCTTGGCAGATAGAAAGCATCTTAAATAATTATTGAATTAATACATATTTATGTACAAGTTCATTTTTAAAGGTACTTTCACATTCAGGTGTTTATTTCATCTCAAAACTATTGTGTGAAAGAGTAGACCAGAAATTAATAAAATATAGAATACAAAAAATGATAGAAAAAAATCAATGAAACTGTAACTTTATTATTTGAAAAACTCAACAAAATTGTTAAGCCTTTTATTAACTCATAAGGAGAAAAAAAGAGATGACTCAAATTACTAAAATCCAGAATGAAAAGAGAGATTACTACTAACCTTACAAGAATAAAATGAATTATAGTGTCTATAATAGTTGAAGAACTGTTAAAATTCAACAACACAAAAGCCTAATTTTAAAATGAGCAAGGGGACTGGATGGACATTCTCCAAGGAAGATATACAAATGGTCAACAAGCACGTGATAAGATGCTTAAAACTATGAGTCCCTGGGGAGATGCGAGTCAAAACCGCAGTGAACTGCTCCCCCACATCTGCTAGGATGGCTGTTGGTGACAAAATTAATTGGAAGCAAAGTGACAAGAGTCAGCAAGGATATGGACAAACTGAAATCCTCATATGTTGCTGTTGGAAATGTAAAGTTATTTAGCCATTGTGGAAAAGAGTTTAAGTTTTCACTATCCACAAAAACTTAAAATGGAAAAGAATGCCATCCTGCCTGTGTGCCCAAAAGAGCTGGAAATAGGTGCCCAAACCAGTGCGGGAGCTTCCATGCTCACAGCAGTGCTTGCATGATAGCCGAAGGGGAACCACCTGGATGTCCACAGGGGTGGATGGATAAGCACATGCCATATGTACAGACAACGGAACATTTCTCAGTTATGAACACGAGTGAGGGATTGGTAGATGTTACAGCGGAGGAAGGACCTCAGAAACCTTATGCTCAGTGAAAGAAGCCAGACAAAAAATGTCACATATTCTGTGATTTCACATCAATGAAATATCCATAACTGGTAAATCCACAGATACAGAACACCGAGGTAATTGCCAGCGGCAGAACAGAGAGGAGAATGGGGAACGGTCACTTACTAGGGTGGGGTTTCCTTTTGGACTGATGAAAAACGTCTTGAAACTGGACAGAGCTGGTTGAACAACACGTGAATGTATTAAATGCCACTACATGGATCCCGTCAAAATGGTTAATTTTATGTTTTTAATTATACCTCAGCTTTAAAAATTAAAATCATATGCAAGTATCATGAACACTTTTAAGCCAATAAATTTGGTATCTTAGGTGAAATGAACAAATTTCTACTAGGTACATACTACCAAAAATAAGAAGAAATACTGGGGAGCTCTTGGTCCAAGGACAGAACATCTCAGTTAGACTGAAGGACTAAGTTCAAGACATCTATTGTGTATTGTGGTGAATGCAGTTTATAATATATTGTATAAATCAAAATTGCTAAGGAGTAAATTTTCAGTTCACACCACAAAAAAGTTTAAGCAGCTTGATTTAGCCATTCCGTAATGTATGCATATATCAAAACATCATGCTGTATGCTGTAAATATATATATAATTTTTCCTTTTCATTTTTAATATTTTAGAAAGATATTTTTACAAGGTGGTGATTTCATTTCTCATAGGTATATATGCATATATATGGTATATATGGAAGAGGAATTGCTGAGTCATATATCTAATAAGGGGGTAATATCCAAAATTTATAAAGAACTTATATAATTAAATAGCAGAAAAATAAATAGCTCAGTTTAAACCATGGGCATTCTGTTATAAAGATGCATGCGCACGTATGTTCAGTGAAGCACTGTTCACAAGAGCAAAGACACAGAATCAACGCAAATGTCCATCAATGATAGACTGGATAAAAAAAATGCGGTGCACCATGGAATACTATGCAGCCATGAAAAGGAATGGGACCATGTCCTTTGCAGGCGCATAGATGAAGCTGGAAGCCATTATCCTCAGCAAACTAACACAGGAAAAGAAAACAAAACACTACATGTTCTCACTTATAAGTGGGAGCTGAACAATGAGAACGTATGGACACAGGAGGGAGGAGAACAACACACACAGGGGCCTGTCAGGGGGCAAGGGGGAGGGAGAGCATCAGGATAAATAGCTAATGCATGTGGGGCTTAATACCAAGGTTGATGGGTGCAGCAAACCACCATGGCACACATTTCCCTATGTAACAAACCTGAATGTCGTGTACATGTATCCTGGAACTGAAAAAATAAATGAAATATGGGCAAAGGACCTGAGTAGATATTCTCAGAAGATGATATAAAAATGACCAACATGGTTTTGATTTGCATTTCCCTGAGGATTAGTGATGTTGAGCGCTTTTCACACAACTGTTGAACGTTTGTGTAATCCTCAGTAAACATCAGTAATCCTCAGGGAAATGCAAATCAAAATCACTGAGATACCACCTCATGCCCACCAAATAGCATAGCTATGAAAAGAGAGAGGAGATAACAAATGTTAGTGCAGAGAAAAGGGAACCCCCACACTTCGGCAGGAAAGTAGATTTGTGCAACAATTATGGAAAACAGTATCGACGTTCCTAAGGAAAGTAAAAATAGAATTACCCTATGACCCTGCAACCTGTCTTCTGATTGTACCCAAAGGGAACAAAATCACCACCTCGGAAATATATCTGCACTCCCTGTTCACCTGTTCATTGCAGCGTATTTCACAATAGCCGAGATACAGAAATGACCTGAGTGTCCTTCAACAAATGAATGGGTAAGGAAACTGTGAGATATATATATATATATATATATATATATATATATATATATAGTATAGATATATATTATCCATTCATTTTTAAGAGTGTTATATATATATTTGTTTTATACACACACACAGAATGGGATATTATTCAGCCTTATAAAAATAAGATCCTTATGTAATGCCTTTCTTTTTCTCCTTTTCGATCATTGTTGGTTTAAAGTCTGTTTTTATTTTTTTTTTCTGAAATAAGAATAGCAACTCTTCCACTTGTTTGTTTTCCATTTGATTGATAGATCTTTCTCCGTACATTTACTTTGAGCCTATGGCTGTCTTCACATGTGAGATGAATCTCTTGCAGGCAGCCTACAGTTGAGATTTGCTTCTTTTCTTTTCTTTTTTTTTTTTGATGGAGTTCTGCTCTGTCGCCCAGACTGGAGTGCAGTGGCGCAATCCTGGCTCACTGCAAACTCCACCTCCCAGGTTCAAGCAATTCTCAAGCATTGCCATCTGTGACAATGCGGATGGACCTGGAGGCCGTTATGCTAAATGAAATAAGGCAGACACAGGAAGAAAAATATTACATGATGTCACTTATATGTGGAATTATATAAAGAGATAAAACTAGTTATCAGGGATGGGGTAGAGAGAGGAAAAGGAGAAATGTAGGTGAGAGGGTACAAAGGAGCAGATAAGATGAACAAGTCTGGAGATCTATCATACAACAGGAGAATTATAGCTAATAAAATTGAACTGTATTTGGAATTATTTATTGCTAAATTAGTACGTCTTAGCTGCTCTTGCTATGCACACACAAAATGGGTAACTATGTGAGATGATGGATATGTTATTTTGCTTTACTATAGTAACCGTTTTACTATTTATATGCATGTTATGACATGTTATATACCTTAAATATACACAATAACACTTGGACACAGGAAGGGGAACATCACACACTGGGGCCTGTTGTGGGGTGGGGGAATGGGGGAGGGATAGCACTAGGAGATATACCTAATGTAAATGATGAGTTAATGGGTGCAGCACACCAACATGACACATGTATACATATGTAACCTGCACGTTGTGCACATGTACCCTAGAACTTAAAGTATAATAAAATAAAAATAAAAAAATACATAAATAAAACTTTAAAAAAAGGAAATCTGAAAAGATCTATAACATGGAAAGAGATTGAATTAATAATCAAGCTAACTATGCCAAAGGAAATCCAGGTTCAGATGGTCTCACTGGTGAATTCTGCCAAACATTTAAAGGATAAATTAATAACAATCTTACATATGCTCTTTCAAAATCAGAAGTTGGAGGGAGTCCCCAACTCATTCTATGAAGCCGATATTTGTCTGATACTAAAACCATACAATGACATCATAAGAAACTACAAACCAGTGCCTCTTATGAATATAGATATAAAAATCCTCCACAAAATAACTAGCAAATTGAATCCAGCAACATAGAACATACCCAACTAGATTTTTTCCAGGATTTCAAGTTTGTTTTGACATCTGCAAATCAATTAATGCAATGCAACATATTAATAGAATAAAAAGGGGAAAATGACATCAACTCAATAGGTGCAGAAGAAGTATTTGACAAAATTCAACACCTCTTCATAACACTCAACAAACTGGAAATAGAAGAGAAATCCTCCATCTTAAAATAACATATACGAACAACCTATAGTTAACACCATACGTAATGGTTAAGGACTGAAAATTTTGCCTCAGTGACCGGGAGCAAGACAAAGATCTTGGCTGTCACTACTTCTATTCAACATTGTACTGGAGGTTCTAGGCAGGAAAAGCAGATGAGAAAAAAGAAAAAGCATTCCTATTGGAAAGGAAGAAGCAAAACAATATCTATTTGCAAGTAACATAAAGTTGTATAGAAAATATTTAGAAATTTCCTAACAAATTATTAGAAATAATAACTGAATTCAGCAAGATTGTAGGATACAAAATCAGCATACGAAACTCAATTGCATGCATGTATACTGCCAATGTACAATACAAAAATGACCAAGATGTTATAAAACTTATACTCTGAAAACTATAAAATATTGAAATATTGAGAAAATTAAAGAAGGTTTTAGTATCAAGGTGATGCTGGTTTCATAGAAAGAGGAGTTCTTCTACCTTGATTTTTTTTTTTTTGGAATAGTTTTAGAATCGGAATCAGCTCCTTTTTGTACGTCTGGTGGAATTCAAGTATGAATCCATCTGTTCTGAAGCTTTTTTAAGTTGGATTTTTATTACCGATTCAGTTTTGGAACTTGATAATGATCTGTTTAGGGTTTGTATTTCTTGCTGATTCAATCTGGCAAGATTATGTATTTCCAGGGATTTATCTACTTCCTCTAGATTTTCTAGTTTGTGTGTGTAGAGGTTTCATAATAGTCTCTGAGGATCTTTTGTTTTTTCTGTGGGATTAGGTGTAATGTGACCTTTGTCATTTCTGATTGTGCTTATTGATGAACACAGATGCAAACATTCTTAACAAAATACTAATAAAACCAACAGCACATCAACAAGTTAATTCACCACAATCAAGTAGGCTTCATTCTTGGGATGCAAGGTTGGTTCAGTGCACACAAATCAATAAATGCAGTTCACCACATAAACAGAATTACAAACAAAAACCATACGTTCATCTGAGTACATTTGGGGAAAGCTTTAGATAAAATCCAACACCCTTTCATGATAAAAACCCTCCAGAAACTAGGCATCAAAGGAACATACCTCAAAATAATAAGTGCCACCTATGACAAACCCACAGCCAACATTAATACTGAATAGACACAAGCTGGAAGCATTCCCCTTGAGAACTGGAACAAGACAAGGATGCCCACTCTCACCACTCCTATTCAACATAGTGCTGGCCAGAACAATCAGGCCAGAAAACGTAGTAAAAGACATCCAAATAATAAAACAGGAAGTCAAACTATTTGTCTTCACAGATGATATGATTCTATACCTGCAAAACCCCAAAGACTCTGCCAAAGGGCTCCTGGAACTGATAAAGAAAATTTCAGTAAAATTTCAGCATACAAAATCAGTGTACAAAAATCAGTAGCATTTCTAGAAACCAGTGAAGTTCAAACTGAGAGCCAAATCAAGAACCCTATCCTATTCTTAATAGCTACAAAAAGAATAAAATACCTAGTAATACATCTAACTCGAAGTGAAAGATATCTACAAGGAGAACTATAAAACACTGCTACAATAAATCATAGATGGCACAAGCAACCAAAAACATTCCATGATGATGGACTGGAGGAATCAATATTGTTAAAATGGCTGTACTGCCCAAAGCGATCTACAGATTCAATGCTATTCCTATCAAACTACCAAAGTCATTTTTCACAGAACTAGAAAAAAACTATTCTAAAATTCATGTAGAACCAAAAAGCTCGAATAGCCAAAGCAATCCTATGCAAAAAGAACAAAGCCAGAGGCATCATGTTACCTGACTTCAAACTGTACTATAAACCTACAGTAACCAAATAGCATGGCACTGGTACAAAAACAGACACATAAACCAACAGAACAGAATATACAACCCAGAAATGAACCCATACAGCTAAAGTCATCTAATCTTTGACAAAGTTGACAAAAATAAGCAATGGGGAAAGGGCTTCTTATTCAATAAATGTTATTAGCATAACTGGCTAGCCTTATGCAAAGAATGAAACTGGATTCCTGCCTTTCAGCATATGCAAAAATTAACTCAAGATGAATTACAAATTTAAATGTAAGACCTCAAACTTCAAGAATCCTAAGAAAAAAAATAGGAAACACCATTCTGGACATCAGCCTTGGGAAAGGATTTATGACTTAAGTCCTTGAAAGCAACTGCAACAAAAACATAAATTGACAAGTGGGACCTAATTAAGTTAAAGAGCTTCTGCATAGCAAGAGAAACTATCAACAGAGTAAACAGCCTACAGAATGGGAGAAAATATTTGCAAGCTATGGTCTAATACACAGAATCTATAAGAAACTTAACAGTTGAACAAGCAAAAAACAAATAGCCCCATTAAAATTGGACAAAAGACATAAACAGACATTTCTCTAAAGACATACATGTAGTCAAAAAACCCACGAAAAAATGCTCCATATCTCTAATTGTTATAGAAATGTAAATCAAACCACAATGAGATACCATCTCACGCCAGTCAGAATGACTATTATTAAAAAGTCGAAAAACAACAGATGCTGGTGAGGGTGCAGAGAAAAGGGAATGCTTATATCCTGTTTGTGGGAATGTAAATTAGTTCAGCCATAGTGGAAAGCAGTTTGGAGATTTCTCAAAGAATTTAGAACTACTGTTTGACCCAGCAATCCCATTACTGGCTATGTATCCAAAAGAAAACAAAATTGTGCTATTGAAAAGACACATGCACTCACCTATTCATTGCAGCACTACTCACGATAGCAAAGAGAGGAAATCAGCCTAGGCATGCAACACAGGTGGACTGGATAAAGAAAATGGCTGTGTACACCGTGGGATACTGCATAGCCATAAAAAGAATGAAATCGTGTTCTTTGCAGCAATGTGGATGCAGAAGGTCATTATACTAAAAGAACTAACACAGGAACAGAAAATCAAATAGTGAATGTTCTCATTTGGAAGTATGGATATAATGATGGCAACAGTAGACCCTGGGGGCCGCTAGAGGAGGAAGGAAGGGCGGGAGGAAGTGTTGGAAAACTACTGGGTACTATACTCTGTAGCTGGGTGACAAGTTCAGTCATACCCCCAAATCTCAGCATCCTACAATAGACCCAGGTAACAAACCTGCACATGTACCCCTGAATGTAAAATCAAAGTTGAAAAAATTAAAAAATGTAAATCTTCAAAATAAAATAATAAATGCCAGTAGCCAAAAGAAAAATTGCTGTGGGAATCTGAAAGTACCACACAAGTAGTGAACCAATATTTTGAATTCCTTTTTAACTTTAATTTGAAGAAGGGCCTGGGATGGTTATTTGAGGAGCTCTCATCCAGCACTGTCCCCTTCACGACTGGGTGGTGCTGAGCCTTTGGGGCAGCTGGAGAACAAACTGTCACTTTGCACACTTGCCGGGGTCATCAGCCAGCAGAAGCTGGCCCACAACGCAAAAGGACCCCGTGCTGAGGAGTGGGTTTTCCCGGCTTGGCTTTGCTGTTTGGACCTGAGTGGGGGTGTCTTCCTCTGGCCCCACAGGCTGTGAAGAGCCCACTTTTTGGGGCCAACATGAGCAGTCCTCTGTCCTCATCATTCCAGGTCTCTGCCCCATCCCTTTCTCCAGCACCCTCATGGTAGTGACTACCAGGGTCAGGTGCAGGCTGTGATGAGGGGAGGATGCCTCCTCCGTCTCGAACCTCACGTCAACTCCTTTCCTCTTGCATCACTGTGCTGGGCTGAGGCTCAATGTGGTGATGGGGGCTGTGGCTGTTTGGGAACGACTTATCCTTTACATTGGCTGATGTTTGTATTTGTTGAGTGTGGAATCCACAAGATGCTTTCATGTAGGCATTTCATTTCTCCTTGCAAAATCTCTGTAAAGTAGGCACCCTCCCTCTCAACACAAGACAAGGTGCATGTTCAGTGACTTGTCTGAGGCCACTCACTCATTCACACATTCATTTCTTCCACTAACTTTTTTGAGTAACTTTATTGAAGTGTAGTAAACGTATCGCAAGGTTTAGCTTTTTGAAGTGTGCGAGCCAGTGGCTTTTAGTGTGTTTGCACGGTTGTGCAGCCGTCGCCATAATCTAATTTTAGAATATTTTATCATCATTAGTAACCACTCCCATTCTAGGCCCACCGCCTGCCCAGCCCTAGGAAGTCCCCAGTCTACTTCCTGTCTCTATGAACTTGCTATGCTGAACATTTCATAGGAATAGAACCATCTGGCATTGGCGGAATTTTGTGCCTGGTTTCTTCCACTTAGCACCACGTGTTCAAGTTTCATCCATGTGGTAGCAGTGCCAGCGCCTAATAGACACTCCCTCCATGCTTTTAATGAGCAAATGACATTCCATTGTTTGGATATACCCCATTGTATTTATCTGTTTGTCACTCATTGGACATTTGAGTTGTTTCTGCCTCTTGGCTATGATGAATGAGAGGCTGCTGTGAACATTTGTGTGGGCATCCTGGATGCATTCCCCTACCTTTCACTGAATATTTGCCACGTGATATATTTACAGAGATGAGTCAGGCCTGGCCTGTGCTCTAAGAAGCCTTTAATTCAATAGCAGAAGACTCAGCTGTAACCTCCTGGGAGCAAGGGCGTGCCTGTCTTAGTAATTATTGCAAACGTCCTGCCTACCACGGGCCTGAATGGTTGGCTAACGGGGCTAATCGCAGAGCGCAGGGAAGGTTGGGATGCAGACCGCAGCTGGAGCCCTGTGATGTGAGAGGCCTGGAAGGATTTCAGAGGCCACTCAAGGGGACCTGATGCAAGGGGCGAAGATGGAACTCAGTCTCGGAGCTGCCCAGCTCTGGGTCCAATGGGCAAGACTTGCTAAGCTTTGTTTGTGTTTTTAGTTACTGATAGATGATCTCAGTGCCTAAGAGTGTGTTGAGCACATGTCAGTTGACTTTCTGGGAAACACGCAGGGCTGTAAGTATTTAGGACATCAGGGTCTCACTGGGAGCTGTACTCCCTACTTGAAAATATAAAATGTACCTAAATATAGAAGTCTTGGAAAGAGTTATTTTAATCCGTAAGCTAAACCACTGTCCTCTACACATGATAGTGTCACACGGATGTATATGGAGGATAATAATTGTAATGGTATTAATGACACAAAAGGACTTAAGGTGTCCTAGGACGGGGTTTGACCAGGTGGTCAATAGGCCTGCACTGGGAGGGCTTCATGGTGACTGATCTGTTGGTGACTGCTAATGGCACTATTGAAAGGCCCAAGTGAATACCTAACATTTTTAAAGAGATAAAGTGCCAAAGAGAAGTTCTTCAGCATTGTAGCCTGTTGCTATAAAGAGGAATTAAGTTTCAAAGGCTTCTCCTGTCCTCCTTCGAAAGCGGAAAGTCCTGTGCGGCTGTTGTCGTAGGTGGTGCACCTGTCTGCTGGGACTTCTGTAACCAGTGGCACAACCCTGAGTGGAACCAGCACAGGAATGCACGTCTCACCGCTCTGGAGGCCACGGGTCTGAAATCAGGGTGTCTGCAGGCTGCTTTCTTCTGAGCCTGTGAGGGAAGTACGTGTTCTAGGCATCTCTCCTAATTCCTGGCCATTCCTTGGCTGTGGTGGCATCACCCCGATCCTCACATGACACTCCCTGTGGGTCTGATTCCAGTGTCAGCTTTTCATAAGGACACTAGTAATACTGAATCAGGGCCTGTCTCCCCAGGATTAGGGTGACCTCTCCTTAACCATTTACAGCAACAATGACCCTATTTCTAAACTAAGGTCACATTCTGAGGTCCTGCAGGTGAGGACTTCACATTTGAATTTTGTGGAGGCACAGGCTGTTCTAGATGGTTTCAGCTCTAAAATAATCCCGTCTCTGGAACAGATCGAGAACGAGGCTTAAAATTATGTCCCACGAGCTTGACTTTGGACTGACAGTGATTCTGTTGCACGTCACACCCTTTCTGGGAACTCATAGGTGGTTAGGATCAAGCTGCCTCTGCCTTGCGCAACTGGGGCCTTTCATGTGCCCTCAAGTGAGTGAGTTCACGGCGTCACGTCAGGAGTGATACCCGGACTGTTCAACACTTAACTGTCACAGCGCTGTGTCTAGGAGCTCCCTCTCACGTGGCGCCATATCTAGTTCTCTCGCACACAAAGCATTGTGTCTGCTTCTCTCTCACATGCCACTGTGTCTAGTTCTCTCACGCATAGCATTGTGTCTAATTCTCTCTCACATGGCGCCATGTCTAGTTCTCTCACATGGCATCGTGTCTAGTTCCCTCTCACATGGCGTCGTGTCTAGTTCTCTCACACATGGCGCCATGTCTGCTTCCCTCACACATGGCGTCATGTCTAGTTCTCTCACACATGGCATGTCTAGTTCTCTCACACATGGCGTCGTGTCTAGTTCTCTCTCACATGGCGTCGTGTCTAGTTCCCTCACACGTGGCATCGTGTCTAGTTCTCTCTCACATGGCGCCGTGTCTAGTTATCTCACACGTGGCGTCGTGTCTAGTTCCCTCACACATGGCGTTGTGTCTCGTTCTCTCTCACGTGGCATTGTGTCTAGTTCCCTCACACATGGCGTCGTGTCTAGTTCCCTCTCACATGTTGCCGTGTCTAGTTCTCTATCACACATAGCGTCATGTCTAGTTCTCTCTCACACAGAGCATCATGTCTAGTTCTCTCACATGGCACCATGTCTAGTTCTCTCACATGGTGCCGTGTCTACTTCTCTCTCACACGTAGCGTCATGTCTAGTTCTCTCTCACACAGAGCATCATGTCTAGTTCTCTCTCACATGGCACCATGTCTAGTTCTCTCACATGGTGCCATGTCTAGTTCTCTCACATGGTGCCGTGTCTAGTTCTCTCACATGTTGCCGTGTCTAGTTCTCTCTCACACATAGCGTCTTGTCTAGTTCTCTCTCACACAGAGCATCGTGTCTAGTTCTCTCACATGGCGCCGTGTCTAGTTCTCTCACATGGCGCCATGTCTAGTTATCTCACATGGTGCCGTTTCTAGTTCTCTCACATGGCGCCGTGTCTAGTTCTCTCACATGGCACCATGTCTGCTTCTCTCACATGGCGCCGTGTCTAGTTCTCTCACATGGCGCCGTGTCTGGTTCTCTCACATGGCGCCGTGTCTAGTTCTCTCCCATGGCGCCGTGTCTAGTTACCTATCACATGGTGCCGTGTCTAGTTCTCTCACATGGCGCCATGTCTAGTTACCTCTCACATGGTGCCGTGTCTAGTTCTCTCTCACACATAGCGTCATGTCTAGTTCTCTCTCACACAGAGCATCATGTCTAGTTCTCTCACATGGCGCCATGTCTAGTTCTCTCACATGGCGCCGTGTCTAGTTCTCTCACATGGTGCCGTGTCTAGTTCTCTCTCACACATAGCGTCATGTCTAGTTCTGTCTCACACAGTGCATCGTGTCTAGTTCTCTAACATGGCACCGTGTCTAGTTCTGTCACATGGCACCGTGTCTAGTTCTCTCACATGGCACCGTGTCTAGTTCTCTGCCACATGGCGCCGTGTCTAGTTCTCTCACATGGCGCCATGTCTAGTTCTCTCACATGGCGCCGTGTCTAGTTACCTCTCACGTGGTGCCTTGTCTAGTTCTCTCTCACACATAGCGTCATGTCTAGTTCTGTCTCACACAGTGCATCGTGTCTAGTTCTCTAACATGGCGCCATGTCTAGTTCTCTCACATGGTGCCGTGTCTAGTTCTCTCACATGGCGCCATGTCTAGTTACCTCTCACATGGTGCCGTGTCTAGTTCTCTCTCACACATAGCGTCATGTCTAGTTCTGTCTCACACAGAGCATCGTGTCTAGTTCTCTCACATGGCACCATGTCTAGTTCTGTCACATGGCGCCGTGTCTAGTTCTCTCACATGGCACCGTGCCTAGTTCTGTCTCACATGGGGCCGTGTCTAGTTCTCTCACATGGCGCCGTGTCTAGTTCTCTCACATGGCGCCGTGTCTAGTTCTCTCACGTGGTGCCGTGTCTAGTTCTCTCACATGGCGCCGTGTCTAGTTCTCTCTCACATGGTGCTATGTCTAGATCTCTCTCACACATAGCGTCATGTCTAGTTCTGTCTCACACAGAGCATTGTGTCTAGTTCTCTCACATGGTGCCGTGTCTAGTTCTCTCACATGGCACCATGTCTGGTTCTCTCACATGGCGCCGTGTCTAGTTACCTATCACATGGTGCCGTGTCTAGTTCTCTCACATGGTGCCGTGTCTAGTTACCTCTCACATGGTGCCGTGTCTAGTTCTCTCTCACACATAGCGTCATGTCTAGTTCTTTCTCACACAGAGCATCGTGTCTAGTTCTCTCACATGGCGCCGTGTCTAGTTCTCTCACATGGCACCGTGTCTAGTTCTCTCACATGGCGCCGTGTCTAGTTACGTCTCACATGGTGCCGTGTCTAGTTCTCTCTTCTAGTTCTCTCACATGGCGCCGTGTCTAGTTCTCTCACATGGCGCCGTGTCTAGTTCTCTCACGTGGTGCCGTGTCTAGTTCTCTCACATGGCGCCGTGTCTAGTTCTCTCTCACATGGTGCTATGTCTAGATCTCTCTCACACATAGCGTCATGTCTAGTTCTGTCTCACACAGAGCATCGTGTCTAGTTCTCTCACATGGTGCCGTGTCTAGTTCTCTCACATGGCACCGTGTCTGGTTCTCTCACATGGCGCCGTGTCTAGTTACCTATCACATGGTGCCGTGTCTAGTTCTCTCACATGGCGCCGTGTCTAGTTACCTCTCACATGGTGCCGTGTCTAGTTCTCTCTCACACATAGCGTCATGTCTAGTTCTTTCTCACACAGAGCATCGTGTCTAGTTCTCTCACATGGCGCCGTGTCTAGTTCTCTCACATGGCACCGTGTCTAGTTCTCTCACATGGCGCCGTGTCTAGTTACGTCTCACATGGTGCCGTGTCTAGTTCTCTCTCACACATAGCGTCATGTCTAGTTCTCTCTCACATGGCACCGTGTCTAGTTCTCTCACATGGTGCCATGTCTAGTTCTCTCACATGGCACCGTGTCTAGTTCTCTCACATGTTGCCGTGTCTAGTTCTCTCTCACACATAGCGTCTTGCCTAGTTCTCTCTCACACAGAGCATCGTGTCTAGTTCTCTCACATGGCGCCGTGTCTAGTTCTCTCACATAGCGCTGTGTCTAGTTATCTCACATGGTGCCGTTTCTAGTTCTCTCACATGGCGCCATGTCTAGTTACCTCTCACATGGTGCCATGTGTAGTTCTCTCTCACACATAGTGTCATGTCTAGTTCTCTCTCACACAGAGTATCGTGTCTAGTTCTCTCACATGGCACTGTGTCTAGTTCTCTCACATGGCGCCGTGTCTAGTTCTCTTACATGGTGCCGTGTCTAGTTCTGTTACATGGCGCCGTGTCTAGTTCTCTCACATGGTGCTGTGTCTAGTTCTCTCTCACACATAGCGTCATGTCTAGTTCTGTCTCACACAGAGCATCGTGTCTGGTTCTCTCACATGGCACCATGTCTAGTTCTCTCACATGGCACCGTGTCTAGTTCTGTCACATGGCGCCATGTCTAGTTCTCTCACATGGCACCATGTCTAGTTTTCTCTCACATGGCGCCGTGTCTAGTTCTCTCACATGGCACCGTGTCTAGTTCTCTCACATGGCGCTGTGTCTAGTTCTCTTACATGGCGCCGTGTCTAGTTCTCTCACATGGTGCTGTGTCTAGTTCTCTCTCGCACATAGCGTCACGTCTAGTTCTCTCTCACACAGAGCATCGTGTCTGGTTCTCTCACATGGCGCCATGTCTGGTTCTCTCACATGGTGACGTGTCTAGTTCTCTCACATGGCGCCGTGTCTGGTTCTCTCACATGGCGCCGTGTCTAGTTCTCTCACGTGGTGCCGTGTCTAGTTCTCTCACGTGGCGCCGTGTCTAGTTCTGTCACATGGAACCATGTCTAGTTCTCTCACATGGCTCCGTGTCTCATTCTCTCACATGGAGCCGTGTCTAGTTCTCTCACATGGCACTGTGTCTAGTTGTCTCACATGGCGCCGTGTCTAGTTCTCTCACATGGCGCCGTGTCTAGTTCTCTGTCACATGGCCCTGTGTCCAGTTCTCTCACATAGTGCTGTGTCTGGAGCTCTCTCACACCCTGACGCGTTATTTATTTCTTCCTTGACGTTACTGCAGTTACTCTCGGAGGCCTATACGGGTAGTAGCCCTACAGAGGAAGCAGAACATGTTTCCCATGGGGGCCTTTGATCCAGTTCTCTCCTGGGTGGAGCCAGTCAGCTTCTAGAGACTTTTCACTCCACACTGGTCTTAGGCATTTGTAAAATACTCCATTTTAACCAGTGGAAATGACTTGAATTAACTGTATAATTTTAATTTTTCAGGGCAAGTGTGTAATTTAGATTTTAACCAGCAAAACATATGTAAGTGGTGAAAAAAAAAAACTAATAAATTCTGGAAACCTTCAGGTTGGTCTTGTTTAATTTTAAAGTTCAGCGGCAGGACACTCTTAAATCTTATGAGTTAATTTTCACAACTTGATATTGTAGAGAAAAATGTAATTGTCACACTGTTAAAATGACTTTTCTAATAAATGTTCTTGAAGTTTTAATATGACAAGGTACATGAATGATGATCACTGCCTCTACTGAAACATTCCTTTATGGCCCGAGATGGTCTCTGAGGGAACTCCAGGGAATGGTGCGCAGGTAGACTTGCTTTGATGATTGGCGTATATTCCAGTATAATTTGGTATAACGGGATTTAATTTGTTTGTAGATAAACCTACCTAAAGGGACCATGGCAGGAACAGAAATCCCATAGCTTATATAAACAACAGAACATTAATTAACACGAAGACACTAATTAGTTTATCCAGTTTGCTGGCAGAGCTCTGGGAACTGAGGGCCTGAGAGAGGCCTGATGTGTTTGTGGAAGAGGGGCGGCCGGGGGAAAGGGGTTGGTTGTCAGACATATGAGAGGATGCAGGTGACGGGGCAGGGCGGGGTTCTGGAGGATTTGGAGGAGCTATGCCATTACCTGCTCATGGCTAGAAAGTGCATGGAATGGGCAAGGCCCCACGTCACCAGCCAGGGGTCAGCAGCGAAGGGCTTGGCCCGTCTGTTCGTTCCTGGCCACGGACCTTGTTCACTTGTTTCTTATGAAATGTCCCATCCCTGGAATGTTGCACCAACCCCGCCCACTTCCTCTTGAATCCTGCTGAGGTACATTTCCTCAAGGAAGCTCCCCCAGTGCAGAAGGAGGCCCACCCTCGCCTGAGCCCTCTGCACCACTCCTCTGTGGCACTTGTTGCCGTTGACCTTGTATGTTTGTTCTTAGGATTCCCTGATTAACATGCCCTCTCCTCCTTAATGGTAAGGGACCCACAGTGAGTGAGTGCATAGGTGGGTGGGTGGATGTATGTATGGACAGATGGACGGATGGATGGTCAGACAGACGGATGGATGGATAGACGGACAGATAGATGGATGGACGGATGGATGGACAGATGGACCGACGGATAGATGGGTGGACGGACGGGCAGATGGACGGATGTGTGGATGGTCAGACAGACAGGTGAATCCATGGATTGACGGATGGATGGACAGATAGACAGTGGATGGATTGATGGATGGATGGACAGAACTTTCTCTGATGACTCAAATATCACCCCAAGCATCGTCTTCTCTGGGGAGCCATTCCTGACCACCTTCCCTAGGCAAACTTGCCAGCTCCCTCCTTTGTTTTCACGTCCCCATGTTGCCTTACTTTGTTTTTCCTGACTGCTTGAATATTTGTCCTTTGTGGGCGGTTACCCTGAGCACTGCATGGGAAAGGCAGGGCGTGCTCATGGAGCTCACATTAAGTGGACACACCAGGGGAGTGAGGACCCGCCTGGCCTTCAGAGAGCCTGCAGGCCCCTGCCCTGGGGTTTGCTTAGCTCCTCAAGGGAAGGGGCTGGTGCCCTGTAGAGGTGAGGCGGGAGCTGGTGCAGCTCTGCTCTGCGAGGTCTTGGCACCTCAGTAAAGCTGCCGGTGCACATGCATACACCTACAAACCCAGACACTGGTGAGCGACGGTCATTCCTCCTGCGCAGCTGCCTGGCCTGCACCCTCTGTCATCTGAGGCCAGATGTTCTGGACTTGGCCCCTCAGAGAGATGTTCTGGACTTGGCCATTGCATTATTTATGTTCTGTTGTCATTTCATGTTATTCTCGTTTCCTCTTATTTTTTCTTCTCGCTCACGATATATTACAAAATTCTTTATGTTCTGGTTTCCTCACATTAATTTGTTTGGACCCCTCTTCTTCCCTAAAGAGGATTCATGGCACGGTTCCCATGTCCCATACTCGGTGGGGCTGGAGCCTGCCGATGCCCATGCCGCTGCCTCCGTCATGCCCTGATCCTCCTCAAGTCCCAAACAACAGAGCATCTCGCCTCTGCTGTCTCTTCTCTCAGGTGGGCCACCCACCCTGCCACCATTGAAACCTTCCTCAGTCCACATTTACTTATATAACTCCTTTTCTTCAGGCCCCTGAGTAACCTCACTATCCACATGATTAAGTCCAGTGCCTCAGCATCTGTTCTCTTATTAAAGAAACTGATCAAGTCCCTGCTGTGTGTCCTCATCTACCTTCCAGCTCCCAGCCTCCGCACTCCACCATAGGGATGGTGAGTGCCAGCTCCCAGCCTCTGCACTCCACCATAGGGATGGTGAGTGCCAGCTCCCAGTCTCCGCACTCCACCGTAGGGATGGTGGGTGTCAGCTCTCAGCCTCTGCATTCCACCATAGGGATGGTGAGTGTCGGATGCTCCCAGGTGTGGGCTCCTGTACATGCCAGAGGCTCTTCGATGCCTCTGAGTGCGATACGGTTAGAGTGCATTTGTAGGTGCACGTACCTGTGTCCTTAGACAGCTTCATTTTGCACCCTAGTGCCCGGCATAGACTCTGTCACAATGTGGAGGTGCTTAATAAATAACTGTGGAATGACTGATAGGTCATAGACCATTTTTTCTCAAAAGCATACACTATTGGCTGAGCACATGTGTTAAACGCTGTATGAACATAGGGATATGAGCTCCTGAGGAGGAAAGGCAAAATATTGTGTTATAATGAGGTTAAAGTGTTGTAAAAGAGGTGCCATAGAAACATAGGAAGGGGCAATTAGTTCCCGATGGAGGGCTTGAGGCTGCCTCACCAAAGGGTCAATATTTGCAACAAATCTAAAGAATGAGTAGGATTTCTACAAATGGTATTGGGGCAACTGGACACCCACAGGCAGACACCCCAAATCCAGCCCCACCTGCTCCATACACCACACTAACTCAAAATGGGTCGAAGACCTAAAGGCAAGAGATAAAATTATAAAACCGCAAGGACGTGCATCTTTGTGATCTTAGATTAGCAGTGGTTTCTTAGAGATGACACCCAAAGCGCAAAGCACAAGCAACAAAAGAAAAAAGTAAACCAGTTGAGCTTTAACAAAATAAAGTTTTTGTGTGTTTCAGAGGTTACCATCAATAAAGTAAGAAGGAAACTCAAGTAATGAGGTAAAATGTTTGCAAAGCATATGTGTAAAAAAGGTTTCTATTTAGAAGAACTCCTAAAGCACATAAAAAGACAAGCCGAGAAAGGGATGGGCAGAGGGCATGAACAGGCAATTCACCCACAGAAGGTGTGGAAAGACACTGGACATCTTTGACCAGCCAGGAAATGCAAATCAAAATACAATGAGACACCATTGCCCACGTGTTAGGATGGCCATAATGGCAGAGACAGACAATCGTAAGTGCTGGCAAGATCCTGGAGAAACTGGAACCTTCATACACGACCTTTGGGAATAGAAAATCATGCAGCCACTTTGGAAAGTGAGGCATTTCCTCAGAAGTTTAAACATAGAGTTACCATGTGACCATAAATCCCATTTCTTGGTACATACCCAAGAGAAATGAAACATATGTCCACTAAAAAAACTCATACCTGATTGCTTACAGAGGCATTATTCATGATACTCAAAGATAGAAACAACCCAGGTCAAGTATCCGGAAACGGAGGGGTGGATAAATATGCTGTGGTCCATCCATGCAATGGAATCTTCTCTAGCAATAAAGGAATGGAGCACCGATGCATGCTGTGACACAGACGAACCTCAGAAACATTTTCTACGTGAAAGAAGCCAGTCATGAAAACCACAGATAGGATTCCATTTATATGCAGTGTTCAGAACAGGCAAATCTATATAGAAAGTACATTAGTGGTGGCCTGGGGCTGGGGGCACGGAAATGAGGGTTAACTGCCGAAGGGCATGGATTTATTTTTGGAGTGACGAAATGTTATGTGATTGATTGTGGGGATGGCTGCACAGCTCTGTGAGTATGCTATTGAGCTGTGCACTTTCAGTGGGTGAATCATATGGTGTGTGAATGATATCTGAATAAAGCTGTTAGGAATAAATCACTTTTAAAAAAGCAATGAAGAACAGTTTTCCAGGAAAAAAAGGGCAGAGGCAGACATACTTTGTGCACAGTGGCACACATGGAGACCCGGAGGTACACGGGACCCTGGTGTGGTCGAGCACGAAGGGTGGGTGGTCCCAGTATGACCGCCGTGGGGAGGACAGAGGCGCCTCCTGTGCCTGACAAGCAGGGAAGGCCTCAGCATTTAGGAAATGCATCTATTGAGGAAGAACTCTTTCTACTTCTACACTCAAATTTCATGTTGATATTTGTTCCTGCTATTTATGTACTATCAGTGTCTATATTTTAATACAGAGTAAGCCATTTGGTTTCTAAATATCTTAAATTTGTCATGAATAGGATTCCCATAGGTGTCTTCTGAATGCTTTGTAATTACTCCATAGCCCTTGGTCAAATTAATATTCAAGATGTGGGTAATTGGCCCAGACAAAAGTAATAAATTAAGGTGAGAACGCAACCACAAAATGGTAGAGTTCTAGAAACTTGCAGTCAGTCTGGACATATATAAACAAATTTCCCACTATTCACAGTTCTGTTTAAGAATGTGAATTTCAAGCGATGGTGCTTTTGGAGGCACTAACCGCTTTCCCATCTCCAGCTTGGCATCCTTCCCTCAACCAGGGCCTCCTGCCATCCGCGGCTGCTGAGAGCACAGGGACCTTCTCCTCAGTGTGTCTCCTCAGCCTCCTCTCACTGAGGGGAGCAGCACAGAGCCATTGGATTTGGGAATTCATCATGCTCTTCTGCCTCAGGTTGAAAAATTAAATACTGGGTTTTTACTGAGATGCACAATGCTTAAGATACTACTAGGAAATCCTAAACTTACCACCCAAGTTTAGTGAAGACAATTGCACCTGCTTTCACACGATGAAGATGGAATTAGAAGGATTTGTACTTGAAGGACTCCTGGAGGTTGAGCATAAACCACTGGGGATGTGTGTGGCATCGCCACGCAAGGGACATGCCCTGACACCCGTGCAGATGCTTGTGTGAGTCTGATGGCCCACATTGGTGGCTGGCAAGACCTTTGAGATCAGAGTGGGAGTGATGGCCCACGTCGGTGGCCGGGAAGACCTTTGAGATCATTGTGGGAGTAATGGCCCATGTTGGTGTCCGGCAAGACCTTTGAGATCAGTGTGGAGTGATGGTCCACGTCGGTGGCCGGGAAGACCTTTGAGATCAGTGTGGGAGTGATGGTCCACGTCGGTGGCCAGGAACACCTTTGAGATTAGTGTGGAAGTGATGGTCCACGTTGGTGGCTGGCAAGACCTTTGAGATCAGTGTGGAGTGATGGTCCACATCGGTGGCCGGGAAGACCTTTGAGATCAGTGTGTGGAGTGATGGTCCACGTCGGTGGCCGGCAAGACCTTTGAGATCAGAGTGGGAGTGATGGCCCACGTCGGTGGCCGGGAAGACCTTTGAGATCAGTGTGGGAGTGATGGTCCACGTTGGTGGCCGGGAAGACCTTTGAGATCAGTGTGGGAGTGAGATGGTCCACATCGGTGGCTGGGAAGACCTTTGAGATCAGTGTGGAGTGATGGTCCACATCGGTGGCCGGGAAGACCTTTGAGATCAGTGTGTGGAGTGATGGTCCACGTCGGTGGCCGGCAAGACCTTTGAGATCAGAGTGGGAGTGATGGCCCACGTCGGTGGCCGGGAAGACCTTTGAGATCAGTGTGGGAGTGATGGTCCACGTTGGTGGCCGGGAAGACCTTTGAGATCAGTGTGGGAGTGAGATGGTCCACATCGGTGGCCGGGAAGACCTTTGAGATCAGTGTGGAGTGATGGTCCACGTCGGTGGCCAGCAAGACCTTTGACATCAGTGTGGGAGTGATGGTCCATGTTGGTGGCCGGGAAGACCTTTGAGATCAGTGTGGGAGTAATGGCCCACGTCGGTGGCCGGCAAGACCTTTGAGATCAGTGTGGGAGTGATGGTCCATGTTGGTGGCCGGGAAGACCTTTGAGATCAGTGTGGGAGTAATGGTCCACGTCGGTGGCCGGCAAGACCTTTGAGATCAGTGTGGGAGTGATGGTCCATGTTGGTGGCTGGGAAGACCTTTGAGATCAGTGTGGAGTGATGGTCCACGTTGGTGGCCAGCAAGACGTTTGACATCAGTGTGGGAGTGATGGTCCATGTTGGTGGCCGGGAAGACCTTTGAGATCAGTGTGGGAGTAATGGCCCACGTCGGTGGCCGGCAAGACCTTTGAGATCAGTGTGGGAGTGATGGTCCATGTTGGTGGCCGGGAAGACCTTTGAGATCAGTGTGGGAGTAATGGCCCACGTCGGTGGCCGGCAAGACCTTTGAGATCAGTGTGGGAGTGATGGCCCACATCGGTGGCCGGGAAGACCTTTGAGATCAGTGTGGAGTGATGGTCCATGTCGGTGGCCGGGAAGACCTTTGAGATCAGTGTGGAGTGATGGTCCACGTCGGTGGCCGGGAAGACCTTTGAGATCAGTGTGTGGAAGTGATGGTCCACGTTGGTGGCTGGCAAGACCTTTGAGATCAGTGTGGGAGTGATGGTCCACGTCGGTGGCCGGCAAGACCTTTGAGATCAGTGTGTGGAAGTGATGGTCCACGTTGGTGGCTGGCAAGACCTTTGAGATCAGTGTGGGAGTGATGGCCCATGTCTGTGGCCGGGAAGACCTTTGAGATCAGTGTGGAGTGATGGTCCACATCGGTGGCCGGGAAGACCTTTGAGATCAGTGTGTGGAGTGATGGTCCGCGTCGGTGGCCGGCAAGACCTTTGAGATTAGTGTGGGAGTAATGGTCCATGTCTGTGGCCGGGAAGACCTTTGAGATCAGTGTGTGAGTCTGATGGTCCACGTCGGTGGCTCGGAAGACCTTTGAGATCAGTGTGGGAGTGATGGTCCATGTTGGTGGCCGGGAAGACCTTTGAGATCAGTGTGGGAAGCGGTGCCAGCCTGGGTAATGGCTGAGTTCAGGGCACCTGGGAAGAGGATGGGCATAGGAGAGAGGGAGTGGCGGATGCCCCGTAGGTGGAAGTGGACGGTGAGGTTCACTGTGCGGAGAAAGGTGAATCGAAGAGGCTTCTGGGTCCGGACTGCGGGAAGTGATGTTTTCAGTGGAGTGTTGGAGATGGGACCTGCACACGGTCACCAGGTATTTGGCTCTATGCTTCTGAAGCTTGAGGACACCTTTGGCATAAATAAGTGAAGGTGAAAACTTGACATTGGATGAATTTCTCAGAGAGGCTGTGAAGGCTGAGCTCAGCCACAATGTAAGAGCAGGACCCCGGGGACATCCCATGTTTAGGAGAGAGGCCCTTTATGCTGCTGTGACATTGAAGAGACTAAGCTGGGACAGGGGCTGAGAACACCAGAAATGGAGTTCAACACGAGTGTCCTGCATGCTGTCCCTGGGAGGGTGGCTGGATTAATGAGAAAGCACTGCTCTACCCTTGCCTGCTTTACTGCTGGAGAGAAGAGAATGGCAAGAACTCCACAGGCTCAGAACTCTTAGCATTGGGAGCACATTTCAGAAGCAGAATGGCAGACTCAGAAATGGGCCACTGGGCCTCTCTGTGGGTCCCGTGGGAAGGTCTCAGCCTGCATGAGCGTCTCAGGGCCCCTCATTTGCCCATGAGTGGAGTGCACTGTCACTGTGCTTCCCATCTAGTTCCTTATGTCATCTCTTCAGGTGTTTCTTAACTACTGAGACCTAAATACAACTTTCTTCTGTTTCTCTGCTCTTATCTATTTCTCATGTTCTCATAAAAAGCTAGGAAAGAGATTGCACTGAACAATCTTTTGCTTGATGAAATATTTTGCAAATTGTTAAAAACGAAACTAGAATAATTCCTTATACGACTGAATGGCTGACCACAGGCAAATCACTTCATTTCTTTGGGCTTCTTTTTCCTGAACTGAATGAAAGACATAAACAAGCTGATTATTCACACACAGCTGTCATGGAGCTGGTGAGACTGGAGTCATGAGCAGCATTGAGTTTCATAGATTAAAAGGATATAAAAATAAACTATTGATTATTCAGGGGTGGGCCATTTATTTTTTAGCTAGTTCTTAACCCTCGGTGCACATCCGTTAGGCAGTGAGCACATATTTGGGTTGAATAATACTGAGACCTTGTTTTTCCTTAGAGATTTTAATAAGCTAATTAACTTTATTTTCTTTTTTTTGAGAGAGAGTCTTGCTCTGTCACCCAGGCTGGAGTGCAGTGGTGCGATCTCAGCTCACTGCAACCTCTGCCTCCCAGGTTCAAGTGATTGTTCTGCCTCAGCCTCCCGAGTAGCTGAGACTACAGGTGCATGCTGCCATACCAGGCTAATTTTTGTATTTTTAGTAGAGATGGGGTTTCACCATGTTGGTCAGGCTGGTCTCGATCTCCTGACCTTGTGATCTGCCTGCCTCGGCCTCCCGCAGTGCTGGGATTACAGGCGTGAGCCACCATGCCCAGTAGTCTTTCTTAGGCTAAGCTTACTGTGAAGATAAATCTGCTCCCCAGAAACACCCCAAAGTCAGATATGGCATTTCAGGACGTGACAATGGCGAGCAGAGAGGCTGAGCTGTGAGCTCACAGTTTGTCTCCAGAGCAACTCCAGTGCCTGGGTCTGCACACCGCGCACTTCCTCCTGCCACAGCTGCAGGGGTCAGGGGCTCCCGAATGAGACATCCTGTGTTGATCGCAGCCGTCTCCCAGCATGTGGAGCAACACTAGGACCGTGGTAGATGTTCAGTCATGTTCGCTGAAGGAAGAAGGGAGTGAATGAATGTCTTCTCTGAGGATAGCTGAGCATCCGTGCATCCGTCTGGCCATGAGAACTTGGTTGCGCTCACATGAGGATCCTGAGCAGGTAATTATCTCGGTCCAGAAGCAATAGCTTCAGGCAAAGAGAAGACGCGTTCCCTCCCTGTCTGTGCATCTGACTTTCACGGTTGTTCCTACCGTTCATTGCTTTATTAAAGCCAGTCACTCCTGGGTTTGCCTTCACGTTGTTTCACTTCATTAAAAAAAATGGAACGAGACTTGAGTTTGAATGCAATTATGTAATTGAAGGAACTGTCCTACACACGATTTATTAATTAACATTGGAGCACACTTATGTCGGCCTGCTTCCTGATTACAGTCAGGCGCCAGGTAACGACGGGGTGACGCTCTGAGAAACGTGCCCTTAGGCGGCTTTGTTGTGTTGTCTTCATTTGTACAAATTTAAGGGATGCAAGCACAGTTGTGTGACCTCGGTACGTGGCACAGTGGTGAAGTCTGGGTGAATATTTAGGGGTTGACTTTCTGCTACGTGTATTTTTTCTGTGTACATCAACTATCTGCAGTTTAAACATTGGTTTTCAAATTAGAAATTAACCCATGTTCACGAGAACGTTACTTTGTATTCTTGTCTGCCTTCCCTAACCCGTGCAACAAGCAATATCATTACTACAATTTCTCCCTGAGAACTAACTTCTAAAAATTTACTGTCATCCTGGGCTTTTACTTACCATTTATAAATATACATGACTAGTGTTATTAGAATATTATCAATGACTATCTCCTAGCATAGTACCTGACACAAGGTAGGTTTTCTATGAATATTAAGTCAGTATTAAAGAATACACATCCAAAAATAAAAATGAGATAGTGTTTTACCTTTTGCTCTTTCTGTTTTTTAATGTTGGAGTTTTCCATTTGAGCAGATAAGATTCCATAGCATCCACAAATTGTATTTACTGATTTATTTTTGAGACAGGGTCTCTGTCTGTCCCCAGGCTGGAGTGCACTGGTGTATTTTGGCTCACTGCAGCCTCAAATTCCCAGGCCTTGGTGATTCTACCTCGACCTCCCAGAGTGCTGGGATTACACGTGCAAGCCACGGTGCCTGGCTGAAGTATAAGTTATTTAAGCATCACTCAGTTGATGATGAGTGGAGTTTTTGGCCTCTGTGTCAGGTCATGTTGGAATACAGTCATGTGATCGTGGAGTCAGCTCATCATGTCATACAGCCATGTGGCCACGTTGTCATATAGTCATTGTCGTACAGTCACGTTGTCATCTTGTCCTAGGGTTGTGGTGTCCCACAGTCACGTCACGTCATCGCACTGTTGCACGGCCATGTCCTGTAGGCGTGTTGCATATTCTCGCATCATGTTGTCTTAGGGTCATGTGTCCTGTACCCACGTCACAGTATTGTGTTATCACGTGGGCCTGTTTTCCCACAGTCATGTTGTCCTGGGTCATGGTGTCACAGTCATGTCATGTCACACTTGTCACACTGTGGTGTTGTCACGTGGGTGTGTTGTGTTGTCCTGAGTCACAATGTCAGAGTCATGTCATGTCACACTTGTCACACTGTGTTGTCGTGTGGGTGTGTTGTGTTGTCCTGGGTCACGGTGTCAAAGTCATGTCATGTCACACTTGCCACACTGTGGTGTTGTCACACGGGTGTGTTGTGTTGTCCTGGGTCACGGTGTCACAGTCGTGTCATGTCACACTTGTCACACTGTGGTGTTGTCACATGGGTGTGTTGTGTTGTCCTGGGTCGTGGTGTCACAGTCACGTCATGTCACACTTGTCACAATGTGGTGTTGTCATGTGGGTGTGTTGTGTTGTCCTGGGTCACGGTGTCACAGTCATGTCATGTCACACTTGCCACACTGTGGTGTTGTCACATGGGTGTGTTGTGTTGTCCTGGGTGACGGTGTCACAGTCATGTCATGCCACACTTTTCACACTGTGGTGTTGTCACGTGCGTGTGTTGCGTTGTCCTGGGTCACAGTGTCACAGTCACGTCATCACCATGTTACACGGTGGTGTTGTCACGTGGTGTGTTGTGTTGTCTCACAGTCATGTCCTGGGTCATGGTGTCCCACAGTTGTGTTACATCAATTGCTTGCATGAGTGAGTGCCTATTCACATATTCTTGACAAAGAGTCATGGTTTCGTGCTCTGTGCTGTGTGAGAGGTGCTAGCGAGGCCGCCGGGTGTCATGGCTGGGCAGTGGCCATGGCGGCCAGGCAGGCCTGATGTCATCTAGAGCTCCTGTTGAAGCGCGGCCGGATGTGGTGCCTCCAGGTGGCTGCTGACATGGAGCCTTTCCTGACGAGCAGAGGATCCTGCCATGTGCTCGGAGACTTGGAAGAGGAAAGACGTTGGTGTTTTTCTCCCTGTGTCTCTTAGTCACTGTCACAGCTGGAGGGAGGCAGAGGAGGACAGAGGACGGGGGAGGCAACAAATTAGTGCAATTGTCACAGCAGCCCAGTGCTGGGCCTCGCATCTAGGCACCCCCACAGGCCTCCCAGCACCAGCCCTCATCCCGCTGTCCCTCCGCTGCCTGCACTGCACGGCCCACGGCAAATGCCGCCCACGCCCGGGCCTGTCCCCGCGTGGCTTCCTGTAGAAGGAGCACAGATGCTCTTTGCATTCATGGCTGGGTTGGAACCAGCCTCAGGAAAGCGGTACCCATCCCCAGCAACGCTGAGCTTGGCTTCGTCCTGAGGAGCTCCAGCCAAGGCCCCGGGCTGTGTCCACCACGCAGGGCTGCAGCCGCTGGGTGGTTCCTGTGTGTGCCCTTTCTTCCCGGGGCTCCAGGAGAGCTGCCAGGGCCCCGTTATCTCCCGGCTCCATCGGCTGCTACTGCGCACCCCTCCCCGGGTTGGTGTCAGGAGGGAGGGCGGGTGCTGCGGAGGCCGACTCCATGCAGAAGCCAGAGATAGCATGCGCTCGGCTTCACAGACCTCAAAGCTGCCTCTCCAAAAATATGTGCATAAATGTAGAGTAGCCTCCATAGATAAAATGCTCTATGAATTTACACAGGAGATGCTGCAGTTTCCTCTTTTCTAGGAGATTAAAATAAGGCACCTTGTGCCAGAAAACACTGGGCTGGGCGTTTGCTGTTCACGTGTGGAGCTCGGGGAATGAGCCGGTTCTCAGCGGGCTGCGTGTGGTGAGGGTTCAGGTTCACGTACACAAAACCATCAGACAGATTTCTCCATCTGTGTCAATTAGCACAGATCAGTGTGGTCTTCTCCTAATTTAAGTGAGACTCTGCACTAATGATGATGAATCCACAGTGTATCCAGGTTAAGTCTTGTCTACATTGTGAATCTTTTTTAATGGGTGTTCCTTGGGGAAGAATTCATTGAAAGGGTCCGTGCTGCTGTGAGTACGCTTGCTGTGTGTTCAGCTTGCTGGGTGATTTTAAACATATGTAACCTGTGATGAAGATGAACTGTGGGGAAAGCCCTGAATCTGTGGTCAGTTTTGACGCATATTTTGGTTCGCGTTGGACGAGAGGTGCGGAACCACAGTCTCTGATCCATGTCTGAGTGAGCCGCCTCGTGAGGCTTCCAGTCCCTCCTGGGGGCACTGAGTGGGGACAGCCATGGCCAGGGGGGCCAAGTTGAACCCAGTGTGCCTGTGGGCTCAGCGCTGAGGGCTGGTCACAGATCCCACCCTTGCAGGTCTCAGTCTGCCTCTCCCTTCCCTGAAATCAGTGCCTCCCACAGGCACCATGGTGAAGCCGGCGTCTCCCCTGCCCTGGGGGAACCCCGGGCACATCCAGGACTCCGCTCTGTCCCCATCATGTGACCTCTGATGGGTCCATCAAGGCCTCGTGGTCTCCTCCACGTGGGAGGCCAGAGTGGATCCCACAGTTCCTGACATGCATGTTCACTCCGTGTTCCTGAGTGTCCTGCCAAGGTCTCAGTGGTCACATTTAGGAACGTCTTGATTAAATAAGATGCAATGGGCTTCTATGTCGTGGGCCTCCTCGGGGCCTCTAGTTTGGAAGTGGCTCTCATGAACTTACCGTGGGGCGCGATCATTGGCAGCACTGACTTTTTGTTTGGGGAAAATCACGATCTATGGCCTAAGACGGCTTCTCGCATCTGCATTCCAAAATAGGGTTTCAGAGCTTCGTGCTCTCATTTAAAGCAGTTTTTTGTCTGTATGACTCAGTGGTGTCTTTCCCAGGAACCTCCTGCCTTAGCTCTTCTCAGGATGAGACGAAAAAATCCCTTTTGGGTTTCGGGGGCCGAGTGAGTGTGCAGAGTTGTTGACTTTTGGATTTTAGCTTCCCTGGCCCACGCAGTTCACTGCGCTCCCACAAAGACCGCTCCTGACTTTTCCTCCGTGGGCCTCACTCCCTGGCCCTCTCATCCTGCCTCTCCTGCCCGTGTGCTGTGTCTGTGCTCTCTCCTGCCCAGGTGCTGTGTGTGTGCCCTCTCCTGCCCGGGTGCTGTGTGTGTGTCCTCTCATCCTGTCCGGGTGCTGTGTGTGTGTCCTCTCATCCTGCCCGGCCGCTGTGTGTGTGTCCTCTCATCCTGCTTGGGCGCTGTGTGTGTGTCTTCTCCTGCCCGGCCGCTGTGTGTGTGTCCTCTCATCCTGCCCGGCCGCTGTGTGTGTGTCCTCTCATCCTGCCCGGCCGCTGTGTGTGTGTCCTCTCATCCTGCCTGGGTGCTGTGTGTGTGTCCTCTCCTGCCCGGGCGCTGAGTGTGTGTCCTCTCCTGCCCGGGTGCTGTGTGTGTGCCCTCTCATCCTGCCTGGGTGCTGTGTGTGTGCCCTCTCATCCTGCCTGGGTGCTGTGTGTGTGCCCTCTCATCCTGCCCGGGTGCTGTGTGTGTGTCCTCTCCTGCCTGGGTGCTGTGTGTGTGCCCTCTCATCCTGCCCGGGTGCTGTGTGTGTGCCCTCTCATCCTGCCTGGGTGCTGTGTGTGTGCCCTCTCATCCTGCCCGGGTGCTGTGTGTGTGTCCTCTCCTGCCTGGGTGCTGTGTGTGTGTCCTCATCCTGCCCGAGCACTGTATGTGTGTCCTCTCTTGCCTGGGTGCTGTGTGTGTGTGTCCTCATCTTGCCCGGGCGCTGTGTGTGTGTCATCTCCTGCCTGGGAGCTGTGTGTCTGTCCTCTCCTGCCTGGGAGCTGTGTGTGTGTCCTTTCCTGCCTGAGCACTGTATGTGTGTCCTCTCTTGCCTGGGTGCTGTGTGTGTGTGTCCTCATCCTGCCCGGGCGCTGTGTGTGTGTCGTCTCCTGCCTGGGAGCTGTGTGTGTGTCCTCTTCTGCCTGGGAGCTGTGTGTGTGTCCTCTCCTGCCCGAGCACTGTATGTGTGTCCTCTCCTGCCTGGGTGCTGTGTGTGTGTCCTCTCATCCTGCCTGGGTGCTATGTGTGTGTCTTCTCCTGCCCAGGTGCTGTGTGTGTGTCCTCTCCTGCCTGGGTGCCGTGTGTGTGTCCTCTCATCCTGCCTGGGTGCTATGTGTGTGTCTTCTCCTGCCCAGGTGCTGTGTGTGTGTCCTCTCCTGCCTGGGTGCTGTGTGTGTGCCCTCTCATCCTGCGTGGGTGCTGTGTGTGTCCTCTCCTGCCTGGGTGCTGTGTGTGTGTCCTCTCCTGCCCGGGTGCTGTGTGTGTGTCCTCTCATCCTGCCTGGGTGCTGTGTGTGTGTCTTCTCCTGCCCGGGCGCTGTGTGTGTGTCCTCTCCTGCCTGGGTGCTTTCTGTGTCCTCTCATGCCTGGGTGCTGTGTGTGTGTCCTCTCATCCTGCCTGGGTGCTGTGTGTGTCCTCTCATGCCCGGGTGCTGTGTGTGTGCCCTCTCCTGCCCGGGTGCTGTGTGTGTGTCCTCTCCTGCCTGGGTGCTGTGTGTGTGTCCTCTCCTGCCCGGGTGCTGTCTGTGTGTCCTCTCATCCTGTCTGGGTGCCATGTGTGTGTCCTCTCCTGCCCGGGTGCTGTGTGTGTGTCCTCTCATCCTGCCTGGGTGCTGTGTGTGTGCCGTCTTATCCTGCCTGGGCGCTGTGCGTCTGTCCTCTCCTGCCCAGGTGCTGTGCGTGTCCTCTCCTGCCTGGGTGCTGTGTGTGTGTCCTCTCCTGCCTGGGTGCTGTGTGTGTGCCCGTCTCATCCTGCCCAGGCGCTGTGTGTGTGTCCTTTCCTGCCCGGGTGCTGTGCGTGTGTACTCTCCTGCCCGGGTGCTGTGTGTGCGCACAGGGACACAGTCATGTCCGCGCCTCCTGCAATCAGATGCCCGCGTGGGGAGTCTCACCTTGGAAACTGAGGGGAAACTGACTGTGGGCCCTCTGTTCCCGAGTGAGATGCCTTCTCCCCACTTTCTGCAGAATTTGTGAAGGGGTGGTGCCTGCGTTTCCAGGTCAACTAAACCTGAGGGTCTGCTTCAGTGATGGCAGCGATGGGATGGCCCGAGTCTGAGCTGGCTGCCCCGTGTCCCCTGGGTAACAGGAGCCCCGCCTCCCTCCACAGGCCTTGTGAATGGTGGTGGCTGGGATAGAGGTAGCCCCGTGTGTGGACCATGGCCTGCCCCATTCCTTTCACACAGAGCAGTGTGGCCCTGGGCCCAGGGCTCCTGCGTCCGATGGCTTCTACTTCAGGTCCTGCCCTGCGGCCCCGACGTCTTCTCTCCCGTCCCCTCCACCGGCGCCCGTGAAGGCAGGTGCAGTCAGATGTGTCCACCCCGAGGCGTGTGGGTCTGTCTCCCCGAAGTCGGGAGAGCTCAGTAGAGCTGTCAGTCACAGTTTTAAAGGACGATTCATGCTCTTTCCTTTCCACCAACCCTCTCCCGCTCACCCACAGAGCCCAACCTGCCACACACACGGCTCCCAGGTGAGCTCCGTCCCCGCCCCGCCCAGCCACCAAGGTCACCTTCCGAAGGAACCATGAGAGCCTGTGAGGCTCTGCCTCAGAATCCCTTGTTGCCTCCTAACTTTTATTTTGAACAACACCTCAACTCCCTTTTTAATGTTCCGCTCCCTCCTGAACGCCCTCCGCTCACCTCTCTGCCTGCCCCTCCACCCCCCCGCCCCATCCTTCTGGGCAGATGCTGCTGCTGTCCCCTGCCTGTCCACCTTGTCCGTGCCTTTCCTGGGACGTCTGTGCTCGCTCCCCCAGATTACTATTTAACATCCTGCTTGTCCTTCAAGGTTCAGGCCAGATGGCATTACGTGGCGTCTCCTCTGTGGGCCCCGGGCTGTCACGCTGGATGGCAGAGTGTGTGCCTCTGTAGCTGACGTGGAAGAGCCAGTGTCTTTCTGAGGGCCCGTGCAGGCCAGTGCTGGCGTGGAAGAGCCGGTGTCCTCCCGAGGGCCCGTGCAGGCCAGCGCTGACGTGGAAGAGCCGGTGTCCTCCCGAGGGCCCGTGCAGGCCAGTGCTGTCCCTGCAGTCTTGATATCTGACGCACATGCTCATTCCCTCTCCCACCCTTGTGGGCTCAGGGTCCTTGACACTAGTTCAGGGCTGGGGGTTAGGTCACCTGCCCTCATGTTCTCAGGAAAGTGGATGGAAGCTGGCTTTGAACCCAGGCCTACCCGGCCCCCAAGTCTGAATTCTTTCCCATGAAGACCTTGCACTCGTGTGTCTGTGCACTTGCTACAGCTTCCTTGTGTGAGGATCACCTGTAAATGCCGTGCTCCCAAAGTGTTTGTGTCTATTCTGCAGGCAGAGCCAAGTTCATAGTCACTCAGGGACCTACATACAGGGGACTCAATACCCATGGATTTTAGTGTTTTCCTGAAAGATAATACAGATTTGCTCATAACTTTTGTGCCTGAAAGGAGATGTAACAGAGCTGTAGCTGAAGTCAAGGTTTCAATATTGAAACTGGGATAAAATAGACCATTGTTATTTCATCTAAGTAATTTCTGTTCACCTATATACAATTAAGAAAGTATATTCGCTGTGTGCATGTGACAGGTCGTTACTACCAAACACCACATGATCTCATTCGTAAGTGGGAGTTGAACAATGAGAACACATGGACATAGAGGGGAATGTCACACACTGGGGCCTGTCGGTGGGTGGGGGGGAAGAGGGGAGGGAGAGCATTAGAACAAATACCTATTGCATGCGGGGCTTAAAACCTGGATGATGGATTGATGGGTGCAGCAAACCACCATGGCACCTGTATACCTATGTAAGCTGCACGTTCTGCACATGTATCCCAGAACTTAGTAAAATTAAAAAAATTTTTTTTTTAATTCTCAAAAGTAAAAATGTCATCTGTAAAACATTTGCCAAGGGTAGCTTTTGAAGTAAAAGTTGCTGGCGTGCAAGGCCAGAGCTGGCTTTGTTTATGGAGGGGTCCACTGGCTCTGGTGTGGTCAAGCGGCGTCATCTTAAAGTTGTAGTTTTGTTGTTGCTGATGTTGAATCTTTTTAACTGCATGGTTGAGACCCTGTGGGTGTAACAGCTTCTCTCTGTCTCTGTTTTCAGAGTCGCAGTGCACGCTCTGCGGGGAGCCGGAAGGTGAGTACCTGACATGCTGCCTGGGGTGGGCGGGGGCCGCGCGGCTCACAGGTGTGTGGCTGGCAACAGTCTACCATGAAACGTGTTGGAGAGAACCTTGAACATTGAGGACGCAGTCTGTGTGCTGTTTGATAGGAACGTGAGTAAAATAATTGAAGCAAAGTGCAAGGTGAGCGTTAGGACTCAGCAGCTCGTCTCTGAAGAAGAATTGGCTTTACCATCAAATTGCAATATTTTCTTTATTTTTGTTTGTTCTGGTTTGATAAATTTCCATCAGTTTCTGTGAGGTAACAGATGCTGATACAGGCTTGTTGGCTTTAAGTGCATTCGCCCAAGGTGCCAATGAGCCGCAGGCTGAGTCGGATCTGGGAAGCCCTTCCCGACTGTCGGTGGCTCAGCCTGAGAGTGTGTGGGGCCTTTGCTGGCTGTGAGTGATGTTCATCAGTGTTGCTTATTTAACTTTCTACGCAAGTCTCCTGTGTTTAAAACACGCGGCAAAGTAGGGCCCCTGAGTCTGTCATTTGTTGACTGTTTGGAACTAGTGAAAGCCAGCATTGGTGTAATATTTTTCAATGGTCTAATTAGAAAGAATAAGGACAATGTGATAAACACCTGACCCCTATTAGTGGGGACTCTGAATTAACTGGAGCTTTGATTTCGAGGTCTGCTTTCAGCAGCAAGAGGCAAATTGGCTAGAAAAAGAGTCAGCCTTGGGGAACTCGGGACACAGCCAACCCCAGGAATGTGCCTTTGGGTCAGAGCCCAGCCCAGCTCTGCTTCCACAGGGAGAGATGGGGAGAGATGATCCCAACGCGTGACTCTAAAGGCCGAATACTAAAGGCTTCTGTATACTCAGGGCCACAGAAGCTCAACCATGTCCACTGGAAAGGCTCTTACTCGCAATTTAAAACACAAAAATGAAAAAGTGAGTATAGGGTTAACTTGGAACTTCTATGAAACACTTAATTCCCTCATTTGATGGTTAAGGGAAGTATGACAAGGTTTTAAAACTTTTTCCTGTGTCATTTAGTAGTCATGGAAAGCACAGATATATCCATGGTAAAGTCAGTCACTGTACATTTTTAAATCATAAGCTTCACTTTTATGCAAAACATCAGACTTTGGACACCTGGCATTTCCAGAGTCAAAAGTAATGTGATGTTTTACAGTCAGGTGGGTGGGGGCTGTTCTCGGGTGGAGCCTGGGATGCTGGTCTGGGTGTGGCAGAGGCCGCCTGTGATGGGAAAGCCACAGGTCCTTTCCCCTGGAGACCCCAAGGCTGCTGCAGAGGATGATGAAATTCTGCAGCCTGTCTGTTGGGTGTTTGAAAGCTTTATTATTTCTTATTATAACTTCCATTGCCATTCCCACCAGGGAATGCATATCATGCTTTGAGTTCATTTTTCATTCTCTTTCCCCCAACCCCTCACCGAGAGTTTTCAGTGTGTGAGAGAAATTGTGAAATATAAAACCTTGTAAATAGTGGTTTAAACACATTGCATCTTGCTCTTCGTCTACTTGTTTCTAATAACAAATGTCTGCCTCTGCCAAGGACAGTGGCCCATGTGGGGTGTGTTTTGTTGTCACATGCCACTTACTGCTGTCATAAAAGAAGAGATTTTTCCCAGTAAATCTGAATCCATGATGTTTGGAGGCGAGGGTTTGGACTGAATGAAGGCTGGTAAATCACCCCGGAGTCCTGGCTCAGGGATGGATATTGGATGATTTCTGGGGACATAAAAGAAGAGTTTTTTCCCAGTAAATCAGAATCCATGATGTTTGGAGGCGAGGGTTTGGACTGAATGAAGGCTGGTAAATCTCCCCGGAGTCCTGGCTCAGGGATGGATATTGGATGATTTCTGGGGACATTCTAGGTCATGGGATTGACTCTAGAGGGGACCTTGGCTGGCGCAGGCTGACTTGAGGCGACTGTAGTCGTCCAGAGCATGGGGAGGTGAGCTGGCCCCATCAGGGCTCTCCAGCCTTAGGTCTGTGACCTCTCAGGCCCAGCACCACTGACGTCAGGCCAGAGTGCGTGGTCCTGGACAATCCCAGGGTCACTTCCCCTGGGCACCTGCCTTTGGCCTCCATATCACACATACTGTCGGCTCCCAGCAAATGTGTGACAGTGGCGTGAGGAGGGGAGGAAACGTGTTCGTTCCTGCTCTAGAAGGCAGGTCAGCTTCCAGATCTTTAAAACGAGACAGACCGGGAGGGCTGGTCAACTTCCAGATCTTTAAAACCAGACAGACTGGGAGGGCAGGTCAGCTTCCAGATCTTTAAAACCAGACAGACTGGGAGGGCAGGTCAGCTTCCAGATCTTTAAAACGAGACAGACTGGAAGGGCAGGTCGGCTTCCAGATATTTAAAACAAGACAGAATGGGAGGGCAGGTCAGATTCCAGATATATAAAATGAGACAGACTGGGAGGGCAGGTCAGCTTCCAGATATTTAAAGCGAGACAGACTGGGAGGGCAGGTCAGCTTCCAGATATTTAAAGCGAGACAGACTGGGAGGGCAGGTCAGCTTCCAGATCTTTAAAACGAGACAGACTGGGAGGGCAGGTCAGCTTCCAGATCTTTAAAACGAGACAGACTGTACTCCAAATAAGAAGACTCCCCCTGTCCGGTGGGGAGCCCCGCAGAAGTCGGGGGGCTCTCCAGCAGAGGGTGGGGATGGGAGGGGGGGCTGGGCAGTGGGGGGTGGGGCTCCCTGCTCTGGCCTGCCCCTTCTCACTGGGCTGCGGTTCTCTGAAGCCACCCCGTGTTTCAGATGTACGAGTGCAGTTGCTCCAGATCAGGGAGGAGGAAGGGTTTGTGGCGAGGTCTCAGCTGTGCTTTAGTTTTCGCAAAGCACTGTCATATGAATATTCATATATTTTTAAAATCATTTAAGTAATTAGTCTAAGTGAGAGCTGGCTGGGCGCAGAGAGTGGAATCTGAAATCAGCCTTTTTGTTTGGTAATTTCTTCAGCAGCTTCTGCGAGTTAACTCATAAATGTCATGGCACAGAAATGACCAGCCAGAGGCTGGTGGCAGCGTGTGCGGCTCGGATGTGGGTGTGCAGCGCTCATTACATCCAGAAGGTTAAGGCACCACCTCATTTAGCATCTCGCTTTCTTGTCAGAAAGCTGTTAACAGCCTTCCGTGGCTAAGCCAGTGAAGTGGGAAACACCTATTTGCATTTTAATGGTTAGTTCTGTCTGTGAGAGCTACTTCTTTGGATACAGATTGAATAATTAGCCCAGTCTCAGATGATAATATCTGTCAAACAAACGCAACCAGGGACAAAGTTTACAGGATGCTGGAGACCTCAGAATTCTACAGTTGGGGAATCTCTACGATGGTGTGGCCTGTTTTTCAGAGAACTTAAAATTTTAATTGTATATAAAATGTAGATCATGATCTCAATATGCAAATTACTTACATGTTCTGTATTACGAGGTTTTGAAACTTGTGAGACTATGTTTTCATGAGATAAAAATGTTTAAAAGATTGATTATTATTTACTGGTACCTTTGTTCCTACCAAGAAGATACAGACAGCCCAACTAAATCCTTGAAATGCAGCGTGGCGTGAAAATGGAGCGGCATTTTAGTTAACGAGGGTCTGGATGCCATTCACAGGAATGCAGTTTCTACAGGGTTCTGCTTTGCAGAGACCTCTCCTGATAATAATAATAAATTTACTCAGAACAATCTCAGTTGTCATAATAATTTGCCAATTTAATACTAAGACGGTCTCAATTTATATCATTTTCTTAGTGATTCCTGTTACCTTTTAGATAAAGGCAGTAACCAGTTACTATATAGCAATAAGAGGGCAGGCTGGTTTATCTTGACATAGCAAAAATCCGTGTGCGATATAATCTGTCAATTTAATATCGGAAAATAATTTAAGAGTACCTGATTCTTTTTAAGCTTTATTGACAGATGCATGATACTACTCGCTTTTCAACTAGAACACAGGAAAATTTATGGACATTGGGTGGGGCCACAGATGTCAGTTCATGGATTTGTCTGTTGGTTTACATTTTTATGGCTTGATTTGTCACCACAGCAGATAGATTTTCCGATGTGGGAAGACAGATAATGATGCCTGGTGGGGCCGGGAGAATGTATTTGAAATCCACAGTGACGTATTAACAGTGTCTTCGATCTGTGTTATTTGCCCCCATTAAATCTAAGAAATAAAATCAGCTATTAATATTATTATATAAATGTAGCATTAGAAAATGCTACAAAAATGTTGGGATACGTTGACATGAACGATTCTTTAGCAATCGAGGCCTCAAGATTGGAACTTTAAGAAGCAATAGATGATTGTGATGGCAGAAATATATATTGGATTATTTGGGTAATGTTTTAGAAATTCCAGGCTAAAAGCAAAATTCAAGTCTTAAAAAAACTAAGTAGTTTAAGGTAAGAGATTTTCTTTCTAAATCTGTTTTCATTTTTGTTGTTTTTACTTTGGTTATTGGAAAACACAATCTGCATGCTGCCCTTGGAATTTTGGGAAGACCTACAGAATCTTATATTTTAGAATTTTGGGAAGACATACAGAATCCTATATTTTATCACAACTAGGAGGAACCCAGGCCACCTCTTCTCCCTTCATAACTCATAATCAAGATATTGGGAAAGTTTTCGTGCAGTTAGTAGCATTAAGTTCTTGCTTTTTAAATACAAGATATTCAAGATTTTCCCCACAAGTGACTCGAAACAATGCAGTCTCCTTAGTGGGTTTTTGTTTTTAACCTTAATTGAATATGTGTTGTCTTAACATTTTAAGACCTCTTAACAATTCTGGGGAAAAAATGATAGGATTGCTTCTTGAAATTGCATATTGAAGAGCTTAGAAATAACCCCAGCCCTGTTCTCTGCTCTCTGTGGAGAGGGAGGGCACCACTGTTTCAAAGACAGCTGCCACCCTGTCTCTCTGAGACCACAGCTCTTTAATTGAATGCTTTGTATAAAAATGATCTTTTCTGATTGCTATTTGTGGTTTTTAGTGATTATTGTTGCTTAAGAACTAAAAAGTTCCACTAATATTTGAAGGAAAACAGACTCAGCTCTAGCCAGTCTGTCTTCTAGGACCTGAACATGGTTAGGGTTTTGGTGGAAATCAGAAAACAGTCTCTAGGGTAAGAGGGAGAATGCTGCTCCTCTCTTAGTCTAGATGGAAGACTGAGTTGACCCCTGTCCCATGCCCACTAAGAATAAATAAAATGCTGTACAATATGTAACACAATTTATTTCAGTGCATAGTTGAGCTTGGATGAAAACAAAAGAAAGGGGATCCCCTGAGCCCCAAGAACTAAGAAGGAATTCCAACCAGGGGATCAGCACGAGTTCCAGCTGCAGTCGCTCCTGAGATGCAATCCCAGAAAGGGGCCTGGGATGGGGCTGGGGTTGCGGTCTGTGCCCTGTCAGGTAGGGGTGGTGGAAACACTGTAATTGAGCCCCTTGAATCAAACCCAGACACTCACCCAGCTTCCCCGTTTGTGAGAAAAGAACTGGAAAAACATGCCTGAGAAAGTGTGGAGGAAGCTCATCGCACATCCAGGGCCATGGATAGGATATAAAGTTACCAATGAGAAATGCACACTCCAGGTATGGATCTGAGATCTGAATTTATACTACCTGTATGTTGCAGAAGGACCACATGATGACATTCATAGGAAAGTTGTTCCAGAATCAGTTATGATTCTGTCAGAACCTAAGGGCTCTGGCAGAATCAAAATCACAAACTATGTACACAGAATTCTTGACAACATAGGGGTCAAAGGACTTCTCCACTATAAAATAGTACCCACTTTAGATAAACATACAGAAAAGAGCATAACCCATATAAAGAAACTTTAAGGAAGTGATATGGTTTTGCTGTGTCCCCACCCAAATCTCATCTTGAATTGTCACTCCCATAATCACCACGTGCCATGGGAGGGACCCAGTGGGAGGTAATTGAATCATGAGGGTGAGTCTTTCCCGTGCTGTTCTCGTGATAGTGAATAAGCCTCATGAGATGTGATGGTTTCATAAAGGGCAGTTCCCCTGCACATGGTCTCTTGCCTGCTGCCATGTAAGACATGCCGTTGCTCCTCCTTTGCCTTCCACCATGATTGTGAGGGCTCCCCAGCCAAGTGGAAATCTGAGTCCATTAAACCTCTTTTTAAAAATAAATTACCCAGTCTCGAGTATTTCTTCATAGCACTATGAAAATGGAATAGTACAGGGAATAAGAAGATACAACAGGAGAATGAACAACCAAAGCCCTAGAAGTAATAGACTTGCCTAGATATTGGATACGTTTATAATTATTAAATAGATTTTCAAAAGAAACAGGAGCCATAATGTAAGAAGTATCTATTATGAGGAAAGAAAGACTTAAAAACAAACAGAATATCTGGAAACAAGATGGGTCATTTAAATTGACCACTCTGTGGATATATTATTATAAAGTAGATTAGACAGAGCTGAAAAGAGAGTTGCCAAACTGGGAAGTAGATACTAGGATATCACCTAGAACTTTGCATAAAAAATATAAAGGGAAATAGAAGAATCAAGTTGCGTGGAAGATGGCTTGAGAAAGACAAACACATGTCTGGAATTAAATGAGAAATTAAAAAAGAATGGGGAGAAAGGAGAAGCAGCATTAGTCAAAGAAGTAAAGGCCAAGATTTTCCTAGAAGTGAAGAAATATACTGGGCCTCTTTGATCTAAAGACTCCTAAGACTGAAGCCAGACAAGTACAGACACTCCCATGCCTTCTAAAGTGAAACCACGGAATAGGAGACAAAGAATCAATAAAGCCAGAGAGAATACAGACAAGTGTACTTGATTTTCAGGAGAGTTTTCGTAGTCAATACTGATGCCAGATGATGTTGGAATAATGTCTAAGAATTTCTGAGACAATAAAGAGAGTGAATAGAATGCAAAATATTTAATATAAAGGTGAATAGAAGAGTAGACAGGTAGGGGAGGGGAGAGAAAAAGGCTCATACAACACAAAGCACATGGTAGGATGACTCAGGTATTTTTATAGATAAAATCATTGTTTAATGATAAACGGAATCTGCTCCAAGAAGCTATAAGAACCATCTACTTTATAATAGATTCAAGATATGCAAAGAAAAAAATGATTACAAGGAGAAACCAACAAATGAAAAATTATGACAGGGGACACCCTTGTCTGAGGACATAGAACCTCACTGAAGGGAGTGGGTGTAACCCAGGAAAAGCAGAGACGCTCTGAAAGGGAGGTTTCCCTGGCCCCCAGCATTCCCAACAGGGACGCTGTCTACTATCTGCGAAAGGGGGTTCTTGCCAAGTTCACAAAGTTTAATTTTTTGCTTGACTTCAGTCCCCTTTTGGCTTATGTGGCATTTTAGCAAGCACTTACCCAAGCAGCCATGCTTTTATTGGAAATATTTGCAGGACGCTTCTGGTTTCCAGATGAGCGCAGATTCACCTGGGTGATACTCTGTCTACGGGGCAAGGTGTGGAGCAGGAAGCAGCATCTCTGCTGTCCCTTCCCGGGGTCCTCAGAAGCTCCAAGAATCCCTCTCCCCATCAACCTGCTCTTTATGGCCAGCCATAAATAACTATTACCAAAGCATAAGTCAGATCATATTATTTGCTTCCTTAAATCCTGTCAGTTCCTCCTCTGTTGGATAAATTCCACATTCATAATCTTGCCCCTACTGGTCTGTCCAATGCTGTTTAACCACATATGAAATATGCACCCTCTGTTCTCAGTCACCACGCACTGACGTACGCCTCCGTGGGTGCACCCGGGACGTTGAAGGCTTTACAATAAAAGCATGATACAGTGAGGGGGGAGGGGAGTGTTGAGTGCAGACCCAGTGTGTGTATATGTGTTTGTGTGTGTGTTTTATGAACAAAGAGAAAGCTATCGAGGAATACTTTGGAATACATGCCCTCTCCCCATTGTGTGTGCAGCTTCTGCTTGGATAATGAATGGCTTGCTCATTAATGCGTTATCCCAGCAGAAGATGCACACTCAGTGGGGAGAGGGGATGTGTAATAGTTTGTATTAAAAATAAAAAGGGCGCGGTGGCTCACGCCTATAATCCCAGCACATTGGGAGGTCTAGGTGGGCAGATCACAAGGTCAGGAGGTCAAAACCATCCTGGCTAACATGGTGAAATCCTGTCTCTACTAAAAATACAAAAACAAAATTAGCCAGGCGTGGGGGTGGGTGCCTGTAGTCCCAGCTACCCCTGAGACTGAGGCAGGAGAATGGCGTGAACCAGGGAGGCGGAGCTTGCAGTGAGCCAAGATTGCACCACTGCACTCCAGCCTGGGCAACAGAGCGAGACTTCATCTCAAAATAAATAAATAAATAAAATAAAATAAAATAAAATAAAATAAAATAAAAAGGTCTGGGTGCAGTGGCTCACGCCTGTAATTCCAGCACTTTGGGAGGCCGAGGCGGTGGATCACTTGAGGTCAGGAGCTTGAGACCAGTCTGACCAACATGGTGAAACCCCATCTCTACTGAAAATACAAAAATTAGCCAGGTGTGGCGGCGGGCGCCTGTAACCCCAGCTAATTGGGAGGCTGAGAATCGCTTGAACCCAGGAGGTGGAGGTTGCAGTGAGCTGAGATTGTGCCACTGCACTCCAGCCTGGGAGACAGAGCAAAATTCCCGCTCAAAATAAAATAAAATAAAATAAAATAAAATAAGATAAGATAAGATAAGATAAGATAAGATAAGATAAATATTAAATAGGTCTACAAAAAGGCCTCCAGGGTCAGCTCAGACACCATTTCCGTGATGAGACGCCCACGTCCTCCGTGTCGCTGGCCCCCTCCGTAGCAACTCTGTTGGACTTCCTTTGCCATCCCTTCCCTTTTTCTCCTCTGCAGATGTCTGTTGGGGCAGAATGTTTGTCCCACGCTGAGCTCAGTGCTGGTTCTATGGGAATTCTGAGCATGGGAACTGGTTTTTCCTCCATCACACCCACCCTAGTCCTCTGCATTTCATAGCCCTGTAGTTTTGAATCAAATACATAAAGCTGGCTTCATGGATGTCTGTTCTTATTACAATATAAGTGCTGCATTTAGAATCAGAGGTGAAGCCACAGCTATTCAATATGATAAGATAGAGTGAAACGGGGATGAATTGAACATACCATCTGGTGTCTGAGATTGCGACAATTACCCATTTATGCAGAATGATATAAAATTCACAAATAAACCCTAGTTTGCAAATTTCTTTCTTTTTAAGAAATAATATCCAATATCAGAGGTTCAGGTATTCTGGCATTGAAACAATTTTACCTCCATGATAGTCTCAGGAATACATAAATATTTTATATTTTTGGTCACTGGGTAATTTAAACATCAGGCCGTGGGTTTAGTGTGATTGGAGAAAATACTCCCTATTTTCTTGTTGCTAAACATGCCTAATTGTTGAATTTTGAAGCATATTTGGGAGATGGAAATATATGCAATTGCATGTTGAGGAAAAGAAATATTAGAATTATTCTCAGTAATTCATAATAAACTCATTTGCAATATTGAAATAATTGGCCAAAGAGAGAAATTTAATGTGGGATAGCGTCTGACAGCTGTCTTCCGCGTTAGAGTGTCGCCATCTCCAAAGCAGGAACTTTGTTTTAAAATGAGAACATCATTCGTGCCATTTCACAAGAAGCATAAAATGCCCCCAATTTAACATCTTTCCGCTGATCTGCTGAGAGTCAAGTATCCTTAAGAGAATTCTTATCATCTTCCTTAGCTCCAGGAATACAAAGATGTTGGGTGGTTATTAGATTTCCTGAGAGTTACATGTCTCTGCAGAAGCCACATTATCTCAACTTACTACTTGTTTCTTTAAAAATTTAAAAACATTTCCCAATTATGCACCTCATGTTGCACACTGGGAAATGTCAGCATTGTTCTGGGGTCTCACTCTGACTTGGCAGGTGCTAAGACATTTTCAAAGACAAAGAAGCTTTTATTTGACTTAGACCTTCAGGCTAAGTCGGCTTTGTGGCAGAATGACATGGCCAGAGCCAACGGCAGTGGAACCCTCAGCTCTATCTGCAGCTGATTCTGCAGGTAGCTCAGCCGTAGTCCTTGGTCTGAGATGAATCTTGGAGGGAGACCAGAGACAAGGAACAGAATTCCCTGATGAACCAATAGGGCATACAGATGTGAATTCATCAAGTCTAAATATTCTGGGCTCCTAAGCAACTGTACATTGGCTCACCCCTTCATCGGTGGGCCCGTCTGCCACCTCTTCTCCGGGCCATGTTCGTTGCTGCTTCCTTCCCTGCCCTTCTCCTGGATTTTCTTGATTTTCCTGCCTGCATTTCACAGCAGTAAATGAGTCCCAGGACACCATGCTGGGTGCCGGGAGGAGGAGCCAGAGGGTGTTCCAGCCTGGAGCTCCCAGCCTGCAGAGGCTCCTGGTACGGGGAGGATGGGACCTGCTGGAAAGACCGCCCCGTGTGGCACGGCGTGGCTCTGTGGCTTCACACAGCAGTTGCGGTGAGCCTAGGTCAGAGCCATCCACCTTCCTGTAACACTTGCTCCAGGGCTTGTGTTTACACATTTGAGCTGAGTTTTAGATCTTCTTTGTCTGTTTATGTGACTGGGAGAAGTAAGACCCCCTCAACCCTGAAACCCCGTATTATTGTGGCTGTGAATCCCTAATTGTGCTCTCCTCTCTGATTGGTACATCTAACAATAATGTTACCCATTACGAAGGAGTGAAATGTCTGCAGCACCCACCTTTGTAAAATGACCTTGGAAGGAAAACACCCCAGAATAGAATGACTGTGCACCCCCCTCCCCCAGCCAATCTTGTGATCAGATGACCCAGAACTCAAGCTGTGAACCTAGAAATAAGCAAAAAAGGCTGGCGAGGATTTTTAGACACTGACATTGTATTTTTAAAGCTAGAGAATCACCGTGGTGTAATGGGCGCGCCAGAAGCCCTGGAACCAAAAAGGGAAACTCGCTGAGTGACTCATTTTCTAAAATAAATTGAACTAAATCTTCATCTCCTCTTCATGGACCGTGGAGAGGCACATGCAGAATCCTGTGTGTGGAAGAAACTGTGCATCTTGAAACCGGTATTTTCCTGGGCGGGGAGCATTTTCATCACAGGCCTTGCCCTTCTCAACATACAGTAGCGGGTGGTCTTTTCCCATTTCCCTTGGGGTCCTGTTGACTGACCATGATGCAAAACTTTCTCCTGCTGGCCATGGGTTGCTTTGATTTTTAAAAACCAGGTGGGTCTTGTCTCACCAAGATGGGAAGCCGTGTGCAGGATGCTGTGTACAGCCAACAGCATGGGATTGAGAATATGAGAGCTGTGAACCGTATACACAGAAGGGACTTGGATCAACAGAGGAGCAACGTCTGCAGATGTCCTGGAGCAACAGCTCTGAAAAATGTCCAGAAATAGAAGGAAAAGTAGAACCTGTGATGTGGGCAATGGGGAGAATGAATGTGACTTTTGATCGTCACAGCCTCATTGACTTATAGGATGCAGAAGCATTTGTTTTGCTTTAAAAATCATTTTCAGTATATGTGTCCTCTGTTTCCACTCTTGCCTTACGTCCAAGATTGACTTTCCTCAGGAGAAATGCAGGCTCTAAGCCCAGCGGACAGAGTCAGGCCAGGAAGCAGGCACCACTGTCTTAACCTCTTTGCCATTAATTTGAAGTGGGGGCTTCTTAAGAACGTAACTTCTCTGACCCTGACGTTCTCCCAGTAAAATTTCCTTTGCCTTAAAATTGTGTGTCTCTGTGTGTGTCTCTCTATTTATGTCTCTGTGTGTGTCTCTGTGTGTGTGTGTGTGTCTCCCTCTCTCTTTGTGTCTCTCTGTGTGTCTACCTCTCTCTGTGTGTCTCTCTGTGTGTGTCTACCTCTCTCTGTGTGTCTCTGTGTGTGTGTGTGTCTACCTCTCTGTGTGTGTGTCTACAGAGTGAAACCTCTGCTGTCAGGGTCTGATTTTTATTTTCTAGATGTTCTTCGTAAATTTGGTTTCCACGACTGTATACACCGTTGACCTGCTACTTAGTAAAACTGTTTCTTATTGTTAGACGTGTTGCAAAAAGGTAGATGGGAAGTAATTTTTTAAATTTCAGAATTGTAATGACGGATGACCCATTTCCTAATATTGCAATTCTCAAATTCTTTCCCCACGTCTTCATGAAATAAGTCATAGTTAATTTTGGCAAACTAACCATTACCAAATTAAATGATTAAATAATTAATTAAATCATAAACCCACAAAAAAGAAAACATGTGAAAAGGAGAAAATAACATGAATTGGGAGTCAAGATTAGTGCCAAACAGGCCTTGGTAAAAATCCAGCTTTCTCCACCCAGCACTGAGAGACCTCCAGCCAGCGGTGTGACTTCATGGCATCTGGACTCCTCAGCCGGGGGGGTGCGCCCATTTCAATGCGATTCTGAAAATTATGCTCTTTAAGCACAATGCATGGCACACACTGGGGACATAGTGACTTCTGTTTTACTTTTATTCTGGAGACTTGACTTTATGAACCTCCTTGTGCATTTGTTGATTATTCACTTCATGTGTCTTGCCCCAAGCCCATTTATCAGGCATTATCTGAGTACCGAGGAAACACAGGCACGAACGAGATAGTTGTACATCCGAGAAACATCTGAAAATTCAATCAGTAGTTGCAATAAAGAGTTGTAAATACAGCAATGGTTGTACTCTAATGATGATGAATATTGATCTACTGTTTTATAAAAATGGTTCCCACAAGTGGTGAACTCATAGAAACAGGGTAGAGTGGTGTCTGCCAGGGCTCAGGGGGAGGGGAAATGGGACAATGTTGGTTGAAGGCTACAAACTTGTTGTTTAAGATGAATAAATTCTGGAGATCCAATTAGAATGATTTCTTTTTAATTTTTATTTATTTATGAATTTATTTTTTAAGAGACAGACTCTTGTTCTATCACCCAGGCTGGAGTTCAGTGGTGCAACCTCAGCTCACTGCAACCTCCACCGGGTTCAAGTCATTCTCCTGCCTCAGCTTCCCAACTAGCTGGGACTACAGGTGTGTGCCAACACACCCAGCTAGTTTTTGGATTTTTTTTAGTAGAGATGGGATTTCACTACACGTTGGCCAAGTTGGTCTCAAACTCCTGACCTCAGGTGATCCGCCTGCCTCAGGCTCCCAAAATGCTGGAATTACAGGCATGAGCAACCATGCCTAGCCTAGAATGATTTCATTATTCTCCGTTTTCTCAAATAAAAAATAAGAAAGTTGATGTAATCACATTTTAAAAGCAATTAGGATACCCTCATTTTAGGTAAAATGTAGGACAAATTGAATTTGAGTTGGTATTTCTGCAGTTAGAGATGGAAACATCAACTCATTTTATGTGAGTGAATGTAGACAATGCATAGCGGGTCCAGAGTGTGCAAGCATATTGTGGTAGGGGCCAAGGAATTTCCAAAAAGTGAGATTGAGCTGGAAAAGAAAGTTTTTATATATATAGATGTTTTATATATTTAGAAGTTTTGTATATAGAAGTTATGTACGTATCTATATTAAACATTTTATATATAGAAAACATATATATTACACATAAACGTTTTATATAGAATATATATTCACATCTGTGTTCCATATAAATATATCTATATATCATACAAATTCTGTAACATTTTAAACTTTGTTTTATGATCATGCCAAAGCAATGCAAATGATTTCAGCTGTGGAAGGGAATAATCAAGTGTGAAGCGCTGGACATGGGAGATTCGTTTGACAACTGGTGTGCAGGACCCTATGGGAAGGCCAGGCCTGAGGAGTGTGGTGTCAAGGTTTCAGGGTCTGTAGGACTCGGACCACGGGTGACTCTTCCCATCATGCAACAGACGGCTCTCTAGAGCTGTCAAAGAAGGTCCATGAGCTGCCGGCCTGCAAGTCCCTGTCACTGTTGTAAACATCTGTAGAGGCTTTGGGGGCAGAAGGGTGTGTAGTTTTCATCAGATTTTCATGGAGATTCATGACCACGTAAAAGGTGAAAAGAGGAGCTTCTGTGCCGTGGGTTATGGAACCTGGGAAGGAATGTTCGGAGTGTGCTGACATTCCAAAGCCATCTGGGTCCACCTCTGCCTTGAATATCTCCAACAAAGTCCATTTGACCACTGGGGTTGATCCTGGTCCGGGTCCTGAATTTTTACCTCAGGCCCATTCTTATGATAAAAATGAGTAAATAGTAGCTGTGGATAGCTATGCAGAGCTGTCTCTGGAAGGTGTTTGTCTGAGTGGACCTGGCCGGGTTAGTCTACAGGGGGGCCCTCCCACCAGCCACAAACACACATGCACCCTAATATCCAGTACTTGGGTGTGGAAAGAGGTGGGAGCAGTAGGAAGTCCGGGAGCCACGTGGGCTGCTCTGAGAGAGCCCTGCTGGGGACTTGAGTCCCTGTTGCCAGCTGAGCATTTGCTTGGGAGCATGAGGCACAGCTCACATCCCTAAATCACCCCAGGTCACACAGCTGGCTTATGGAGTGGAGACCCAGGGGGTCAATGTGCCTTTATGCCCCACCTTAACTTGACGAGTTTTATGCTCAAGATGGATGACCAGGAGTCTCGAGCTGCGGCAGTTCACGTGCTCAAGTGTGGATGGCCGGCAGGAACGTCCTGCTCTGCTGCTTCAGACGTGCCGTGACGGCTTTATCATGTGCAGAGGCAGCTCCATCCTTCCCAGTAGCCCCTGGCTCTGCACAAGCCCTTGGAGTTTACTGCAGGCATATTTGGCCTGAATTTGAATTTAATCCAAATTCTCCAGCCCATGTGGTACCTCTGCTCAAAGGTGCTTCTAATGAATCAGGATATCTGCTGCATGTTAAATTAAGATAAACTTGTTGTAGAATTCCCAGGGAGCTAAGTGGGATTCTGTTCAAAGAGCAAAAGGCTAGAATGACATTGGTGTAGAATTCCAAATGGGAGACTTTAAATGAAATTTATGGACTTTAATATCTTCATATATAGCCGGGAATCTGCTCTGACTCTGGACAATAAGGTGTGTGCTCACTAATGCTCTTTCTGATTTTGAAATCAGTTCCAAACCTGAGTCATTCAGTAACCATTTTTCATATATGAAAGTCTTGTCAATTTAAATAAAAGCTTTGAGATAAAATCATTAGAATTCTAACAGCGTGACGGCTCTGTTCAGCATATCGGAATTTGCAAGAGTCAGATTTTTTTACATTTATAGAAAATTTTAAAATTATATCTTAAATTTTTAACTTAATATTTTAATTTTAAAATAAATTATGTATTTATATTTCAAATAAATCTTAAACTTATTTAACAAATAAAATTATTTAAAATTGTGAACTCTTCCCCACCCACCATAAGTGTACTGGAATGACGCACGCATGACACAACCACACTTGTGCCCCCACACAGACTCTCATGTGAACGTGAAAATAAGCCAGCACGTATAAGAAAATAAACCATAAAATAAGCCAACATGTATAAGAATATAAACCATAAAATGAGTGACTTTGGATTTGTTTTAGAACATAAACCATAAAATGAGTGACTTTGGATTTATTTTAGAACATAAACCATAAAATGAGTGACTTTGGATTTGTTTTAGAACATAAACCGTAAAATGAGTGACTTTGGATTTGTTTTAGAACATAAACCATAAAATGAGTGACTTTGGATTTGTTTTAGAACATAAACCATAAAATGAGTGACTTTGGATTTGTTTTAGAACATAAACCATAAAATGAGTGACTTTGGATTTGTTTTCTGAGATAGTTGTTTTCATTTATCTTTTTTTTTTTTTTTTTTTTTTTTTTTTTGCCGTAATTGTGGTCAAGCTGAACTAAAGCTAAGAATTACATACCAAACATTCAGGCTGGATGTTTGGTATATAATTCCAAACAAAAGGAGGCAAGAAACCCTCTTTCTCTTAACTCATCAACTTAAAATGCTCTCTGGCTTTAATTCCTTCGGTAGCAATTACTTTATGAATATTCCTTGTAGACCTCTCCTAATCCAGTGCTAGGAATTGCGGCAGCCATGAGTGAGTGTTCACTGCCTGCTGCTGTGTCCGCAGTCCCAGCTGTCTGATTCACTTCCCTGTTTATTGCTTGCTCTACCGCAGACAGACAGACAGACAGAGCCCACATTGGTGAAGGCTCCAGCCCAGGCAGAGAGGATCCCTGAGGACCTGCAATTTAATTTCGAGCACTGGCTCAATGTCATGGTCCCAGTGCCTCCCTGAGTTACACAGAGCAACTCTGGAGTTATTATGTATAAAACCTGATCCCAATGTTAAGGGGAGGGAAAAATCATTCCTTTACGGTCACATGGTCCAGATCCCTCAGTCTACAATTAAGTAACTGGGGGCTCAGTGAGGCATCGTAGCTTACTAGATGCCCACAGAGCAGATAGAACCAGGTACACTCTCTAGCTCGAGCAGGGAATTTGGAATGGAAAAAAAAAAAAACACAATAGATTTGCACCCCAGATGCTGAAGGAGTGCTCACATACATCACATTTACCATTAAGGCCTTGGACACTGGTCCTGGGGCCATCCGGAGATGACTTCATTCTCCAGTCAGACATCAGCGTCAATCCCAGATGCAGGTGGAACTCAGAACAGCATCATTTTCATGCAAACTGAATTTCTTTTCATTCCCAGATCTTCACAAAGACAAAAAGATAATGCAAAACCTCTATTTGTAAGAAGTTTATAGGAAAAGGGTCCAAGTAGTTCTCACTCTAGGGCTTCTGGAACTTTGTCCCTGTATGAGTCATGGTTCTCTAGAGGGACAGAGCTAATAGGACATATATATATATAAAATATATGTAATATATATAAATAAATATATAAAAATATATATTATATATAAAAATATATAATATATAAATAAATATATAAGATATATAATATATAAAAATAAATATATAATATATAAATATATATAATATATAAATATATATAATATATAAATAAATATATAATATATAAATATATATAATATATAAATAAATATATATAGTATATAAATATATATAATATATAAATAAATATATAATATATATAAATATAATATATAAATAAATGTAATATATAAATAGATATAGAATATATAAATAAATATATAACGTATAAAAATATATAATATATAAAAATAAATATATAATATATAAATAAATGTGTATATAATATATAAATATATATATAATATATATAAATGTATATAAACTCACTGTCATCCTGCCACGGAGAGACTCAGGCATTGCTCAAGGAGTTGCTCTCTCTCAACTCCAATCAACACTCCCCCCCCGACCCTAGCTCTCAATGTTATATTTCTTTCATAACAACCTAAAAAATCATGATAGCTGCTTTTTTACCCAAACACTATGAAAAGTGATACTTCAACATTAGTGTCTTGGACTGACACATGAATTCACTTGGAATGTAGATTCGCGTCGGGCACTATCAGATGGAACCGTTTTGGATCTTGGCCGCACGTTGGGAAACCCACCCGGCTTTGCTGAGTGGGTGCCGGGGAGGGAAGGGTGAGGGGGGACGGGAGGGCTGCTGAGGCGGCATCTTCACTTTGCTTGCATGTGTATCTTCACATGTTCGGCCTTTGCTTTACCCTGAAGGTGTTTCTCTTGCTATAGTTTTCACATTAAGTGCGGTTTGAGTACACGATGACCAGGAAGCCCAAAGGTGGTGCGTCTTGTGTCGGTGCTTTGACTTCCCAGCACACGTCCCCAGACTCCTCTAGAAAGTCTGCTTGGATGAGTAGAACAAGACACTCTTGTTCACATTTTATTGGCCAAATGTCTTGGTTTTCTTTAAATGTAGTGCTTATTTAAAACGTAAAGTTGTTTTCATTGTTTAATTGATATTTTATACTGGCAAAAAGAACTTCAGTATCTTGGATGGGAAGACGTTATCATTTTCTCACTAAAATTAATAAAATTAAGTTTTCATGTTGTGGCAGAGTTTTCAGGAATGTCATGAGCAAGGAATAGGTGTTTGTTTTATGGAATCATATAACATCACATATGTTCCTAAATATCATTTTTAGTGGTTGCATATTATTCCATTTTGTGGGTCCACTGTGATTTACTGAATTGGTCCCCTTTTCATGGAAATTTAAGCTGTTTCTAATCATTTTTCTGATACAAGTTGTACCTTCTGGAATATTATGTCCATAGCTTTATCTGCATGCTCATTCATGATTATTTCCTTAGGGCAGAATCTAGAAATCTCAGAAATATAGTGTTTCATTCAAAGTGTGGCTATTTTACTAATGAATTTTTGGAACCCAGGAGTGACTTATAACATGTGCTTCTTCCCCATTCTGAAGTGGCAGACGTATATCTGTGCCTATGTAGCCCCCCCAGTTATTTGGTAACTGTATTTTTTTGTTGTTGCTATTTCAAATTAATCTAGGCAGCCTGTTTTTGGTAGGCTCTAGACTAAGCACTAAGGATGCAGAAATTAAGAGAGCACGGAGAAATACATAGAGCAAGAAGCATATAAAACAAACATCTGACCTGTGATAGATGTGTGGGGTCAAATGGGAGTGGCCAATTTTACCAGGAGTCAGGAGAATTAGAAAAAAAAATGATTATGAAACAGATGATTCTTGAGCTGTCTTGGTATCCAAGTATTAGCCCAGCAGATGAGTATCCCAGTATCAGCCAGGTAGGTCAGCATCGGAGTATCGAAGTATCAGCCAGGCAGGTCAGTATCTGAGTATCCAAGTGTTATCCGAAATGAGTGGTGGGGTGGGCTTCCAGGCTGGCAGCAGCTGCACCGAGGTCGGGGCAGGAATCAGCATACCCACGTCAGGGAGCACCCCCACCCTTGGCAGGGCCGGCTTGCTCTGAAACCTCACCTTTCTCCGCACGTTTCTCTAAGGGGTCCAACTCCCCACTATTTGCTGGGGCAGTGACTGCACAAGGACAGTTAGGCAGATGTGTCATGTCCGTGACAATGCTGACAGCGGAAACGTTATCTTGAATCTCTGGTAATTTAACATGATTCTAGATTGGGTATTGGTAGGGAGTTGGTAGGGATGGGGCTCATCAAACATCTTAAAAAACAAGTTATTATTTTTAGTCATCATTGTCAGTAACAGCTTCTCAGTAGTCTCTTGCAATTTCAACATTCAGGAGACATGCCTTTCTTTTCTCATTTATTCAGATGATACCTCACGCCAGGTCAGGTGAGGGAGTGGCATCCGTGCTCACGGAAGTCAGCAGAGCTGTGTTCCAGCTCTTTCTCCTCCACCAAAGAGCTGTATGCGTCGGACAAGCCACTCACTCCCTTGGACTCTCAATTATTTTATCTATAAAAGTGGAAAAGAAGATCTATATTCTTTCTAAGATCTCTTCCAGTTGTAAGAACAGAATTAGACAGCATGGTCCTTGACTTGAAAGAGCCTCAGCTCTCTGGGGACTCTGCTCCCCATGTCATCGGCGCAGTCGTGAGCCTGGTCATTACTCAATTACTTTACCTGTTGTTGGTTGAGGGATAAATATCAAGAAGGATAAATGAATTCCAATACAATTAAATCCTTATGCTAACTTAAAAAAACAACTGCATATCATTCTGTTTACTTACTGGTACTGTCAGGAACTTGATGAATCTTTAAAAATCAGGTTTAGTAAAATTCAGATTTTAATAAAAATGATGTATTTCTTTAGTCAAGCCAAGGACATATTGCAGAAAAGAGATCCCTGTGTAGCTGGTGCCTTCTTCTCTACCTTACCTAATCAGTGGTGTGACCCTCTTATCTATATGTTTTAGGCATAGGCAATTATAACTGCCTTTCATTTGATAAATGAATTACATAATGAAGATCCCTTTGACAATGAAAGGCTTTAAGCCATAAAAATAATTTCAGTGTTCCATTTGGTTAAACATAAGCATTTCTTAGTCTTTCCAGAGGAGAGGAAGACTATGTGTACGACTTTTTGGACAATTTAATGTTTAGGGGATATTTATGCAGAAATGTCCTTCAGATTGTTGAACCCATGATGGTACATGAGTAAAGTCACTTATGATTTCTTTCAGTTAAGGTGAGGATAAAGAACATATAGAAAATATAAAGAACATATAGTAATGGGGAAGAAATGAGCTATACTCACCCCAGGGGGTGTGCTTTAACTGCAGAATTTTACAAAACAAGAACAAAATAGTATTTTTCTAATTGGGACTTGGGCAGCATTGCAAATAGAGGTGTCAGTAGTGTGCTTTGACAGTCTTATCTATGATAATTTTAAGTTAGGAAGTTCTTAACCTCAAAAGCCCTTTGTAAGAACAGCGCTAAAGTCCTTGGATTATTGTGGTATTAGGATTCGTCAGTTCTTGATTCTATGTTCTAGAATCTTCTTCACCTCAATTTCAATCCAATAAAATTTTATAATTGCCTGCCATGAATGAAGCTCTGTTTGGCACTTTATGTAAATATGTGGGCATAAATATGATGTCTGTCTTAATTGATTTTACCAAGAAGTATGAAAGTTAGATGTGTTCAAAACTAAGCTTCAAGGCGGAAATACATATCCCAATTAATATACCAAGAAGGTGCTGCGGAGGGAAATTGCAATTCTAGATGTATTAGATTTCTATGGCTGCATAATAGACTACCGTAAGCTTAGCAGTGGAAAACAACACACATGTGTCATCTCAGTGTCTGAGAGTCCAGGGTCTGGGAATGGCGTAGCTGGGTCTTCAGCAAGGCTGCCATGAAGGTGTCAGCTTGTGAGGCTTGGCTGAGTTGGTGCTGGCTTCCAAGCTCGCCCAGCCAGCTGGTAAGATTTATTTCCTTGTGGCTGTAGGATTCATGGCAGCTGCTTCAAAGCCAGCAACAGAGCCAGAGCAAGTGGCAGGCAGGTTGGAGTCTCATCACCACATCACCCACTCACGGGAGGGACACCCATGACCTTGACCGCCCTCTGTTGAGTAGCAGTGTCAGGCCCAGTCTACACGCCAAGGAAGGGGTTCATACACGTTCACACACAGGCTTGAGAACCAGGAGGCGCAGAGCCCAGGAGGTGCCTATGTTGTGTCTACTGTACCAAGATGAAGAAGTAACATGAACAAAAGTTCTGGACTTTGAGGAGCTTAGAATTCAGTAACTTGCTGACATGCACTCACGTAAGGTCTGGAAGTTTTGAGCTTTGTGGTATGTGAATGCTCTTGGGACCTTAACTGATCCCCAGATGTGGCTTCAGGGGTCGCATAATTCCTTTCATTCATTCCTGATGGTTTTTCATTAGCTGGTTTGGATGCCTCTGGGGTTTCTTCTTCATCAGCCAATTTGATTGATCAAATCTCATGAGTCCTGCTACTGAGGCTTTGAACCATCTCTGCACTTAGTTTATAGCCGGGCTGTACTCGTAACCCCTTCCCATCTATTTCCTTGAGATTAAAAGAGTTCCATGAATATTTAACTGAGGAAAATTTTCTGAAAACCTACCTGCGTCATAATACTTATTTATCTCTATTTAATAAATATCTACTGATTTTCCCTGTATCAGAAAAATACATGCCACTAGCGTTTTTAAACAGGAAGGTATTTAATAGGAGGATTTAGGAAAAGGTAATAGTTTGGGGGTCTATAAAGGAGGAGGGATTTCTTGTGGCTCAAAGTTAAAGAACTTCATGGGAGAAGTGACACTTGATGTGTGTCTTGAGGAGTAAGGGGAATTTTGTTCAATGAAGAATGGGAAGACCCGCTGCCACCAGGGCCCATGTGAGCAGGTGCATGGGCCATGGGCATGGAGGGGAGGTAGGAGAGCTTGGTGCCACCTTCATCTGGGCAGAGGAGTATAAGGATAAGAGGCTGGAAGGGCAGTTGGGGGTCAGGTTGCCATGCAAGCTT